>NC_000006.12:93813280-93964219 GCF_000001405.40 Homo sapiens
GGGGCTACAATATATTATTGAAGATAACTATTTAATATATTAATAACTCAATTAATTTTGTTAATGTAACCATTATTATCAATAAAATAATAAACATTGTCAGTATTGAGCTTTCAGTTTTCCAGGTATCTTGAGAAAAAATATAAATGTATATAAAAATATCATCTGTATTCAGATATTCTTTACTCAGGAAAATAATGAGACTACATATGGGCTAACTAATATCATTATTTTCTTAGGTAATAAAATAATAAAAAATAGTCCTATGACACAGATTATAGAATTAGAATATTGGCACATTAAAACTATTTTTATAAATAGACTTTATACTCTCAAGAAGGTAGATGAAAGGACGGACATGCCAAGGTAAATGGAAGTTACAACAAGGCACAAGTCAAATTTCTAAGGATAAAAATGTAATATATGAAATTAAACATACTTTGAGTGAAATAAATTGGAGATTACATGTTTCAGAAGAAAGATTAGAGAATGTGAATACATAACAAAGCACACAAGTAAATTTTAAAAAATATACCAAAGATAGAATTGGTTATCTTTTAGTAAAGTACAGGAAGGAGAGAAATAAGGCTATAGACAAAATATTTGAAAACTACTAGCCAGAATTTTTCTAATTTTATGAACTATGTTGAACCCATGCCCAAGAATTTTAAGAAATTACACACACACACACACACACACACACACACACACACACAAAATGAAGAAAATCACACTGGGCACATAATAATCAAGCTGCTGAAAAACCAGCGCTAAACATAAAATCTTAAAAGCAGCTGGGGTGAGCATGGGTGAAATAGGAAACAATTACTTATTAATGCATGAAAACAAAAATATGTATGACAGCTGACTAATCATCACAAATCATGCTTTACAGATGATAATGGAGTCAAGTCTTTAAATTATTGAAAAAAGAAATCAACAACTTAGAATTCCATATCCAGAAAAATATCTTTCAAAAATATGAGTAAAAGAAAGCTTTTTACAGACAACCAAAAGCTGAAAGAATTTACTGTCAGCATATAAGCACAAAAGTATCAAAGGAGGTTATTCAGGTAGAATCATAATAATAACATTTGGAAATCTGGATCTGTGCAAATGTAGAGCACCTCAAATGCCAATGAAAAAAATTTTAAATGCTTTTTTTATTATATTAAATCTTTTAAAAATATAATTGACAAGCCTGGCATGGTGGTTCATGCCTGTACTCCCAGTAATTTGGGAGGCTGAGTTAGGAGGATTGCGTGAGGCTAGGAGTTCGAGACCATCGTGGATAACACAGTGAGTCTCCATTTCTCCAAAATAAATAAATAAATTTAGCCAGTCACAGTGACACATGCCTATAGTCCTAGCACCTTGGGAGGCTGAGGCTGGAGAATTGCTTAAGCCCACAAGTTGGAGGTTGCAGTGAGTTATGATTGTATCACTGCATTCCAGACTGGGCAACAGAGCAAGACCCTGTCTTAAAAGGAAAAAAAAAAGGAAAAAAAAAGATCATTGACAATTTAAAGCAAGCAACCAACTGAGAGAAAATATTTACTATATATATATTTGACTAGCAGCTGAATACAAATTATATAGATATTATTTAAAACTCCATAATAAAACAATAATAAAACATAATAAAACAATAAACACACAATAAAATATAATAAAATAAAGCATAACAAAACAATAAACTCAGGAAAAAAAAACCAAAAATTTTTAACAGACAGTTTACAAAATGAGATATTAGAAAGATCAAATTCATCACAAAAGATGTTCAATGCCAGTCATCAGAGAAGATGCAATTTAATATAAGATAGAAAAGTCTCTGGAGGCCACTATCTTAAGTGAAACAACTCAGACACAGAATGACAAATACCACATGTTCTCACTTATAAGTGGAAATAAATAATGTGTACACACAGAGGTAGAGTGTGGAATGACAGAAAATAGGGACTCAGAAGGGTGGGGGTAGGAGGGGGTGGATGAAGAGAAATTAATTACTGGGTACAATGTACATTATTCCAGTGATGGATACACTAAAAGCCCTGACTTCACCACTCTCAATATATCTATGTAACAAAATTATGATTATACTCCATTAAATTTATACAAATAATTTTTTAAAGAGGAAAGTCTGTATACACAGAATTACTAAAATAAATGACTGGCAAAACCCAGATTCTGTCAAGATTGTGGAGCAACTGGAACTCTTGTACATTGCTGGTGGGATTGTAAAAATATACAAACATTTTGGAAAGCAGTTTTGCACTTTCTTATAAAGCTAAACATATACTTACCATGAGACCCTGCCACTCCAATTTAGACATTTTAAAAAATAAAAACATTTGTCCATACAAACATTTGAACATGAATGTTCACAGCAGCTTTACTTGAAAGAACTCCAAACTGGAAACAACATATATATAACTGTTGAATGGATAAACAAATTAACAGTATGATCATAAGTGAAATAGTGCTCAGAAATAAAAAGAAATGAACTATTGATGACATGCAATAACATGGATGCACCTCAACAACATTATCTTGAGTGAAGGACTCCATACACAAGAGAGTTCAAAATGTATGAATCCATTTATTTGAAAATCTATTAAAGATGAATAGCATCATTATGATAAATGAAGTTTAGCATTATGATGAGTGTAGGTGGAATGGATTGGGCAGGTATTAAGGAAACACTTTGGAGATGGGATGATGGTAATCTTCTATATGATGATTGTAGTAATGGTTATCCAAAAGGTTATCCAAATGTATAAACATATCAAACTCATGAGCACATTGTATTGCAGTTTGGACATATTTATAGGATTCCTAAAATAAGCTGACCAAGAAAAAGGACTTTTCTGATATGCCACAGAAATGTAGTGAGTTGCCCAAAGTGTGAATAACCTATCTTGAATAATCAGAATTCAAAAAAGAAGAATTAAAAGTCAAAGTTTCAGTGCTTAATCAGAAAAATGAAGACTTTTTAAAGTTATGAGAGAAAATATATTTTTAATATATGGAAATTTTATATCAGTGGTTCTCAGCTATGCTGATAGAAAAAAGTCAGTAATACCAAATCACATTGTTAACATTTTGACACTTTGAGACCAAAGAACACTTTAGGTATTAAACATTTATTCTGAGACAATAACATTTTTATTGGAAGAGATTGTAGGCAAAATTATGAAACAGAACTCATGTTTAAATAGCTTGAAAATTTGGCAGAAACTTTTTTTCTCTTTGTCAATACTCTATGGCATTCTCATATCAATCAGAGTATCTTTAGAGAAAAGAACATACCAGATTATTCTACTTATGTTAGCAGAATAATTCCTGTATAATTGTATCAATACCTCTTTCCAAAAATCACTAGCTCTGACATTCTTCTGTAATTTAAAAACTGAAACTCAAAATTAAGAGCAATGCCATAAATATCTAATCCATGAAATTCTCTTATTTTTGTTTTAAAGTGAAGCCATATGAATTAGTTGGTAAAGAGTAGGAAAAGTCAAAGTGTTCATGTAGCTTTAGATGAAATGAAGAATTAGCAAGGAGTAAAGAAAAAATAAACATTGTGCAAACAAATGGACTGTGTTACCTGGATATCGGTAGAATATACAAATTTTGGCATCTATTTTTTATAGATCTCAAAGTCATTTTGATGTCTTTATATCCATCCTGGCTGATTTCTTCACTGTCTTCCCCATGGAATATTCTTCATTTCCTATATTTGAAAAATAATTGTTATTTTAGCTGACTTCTCGGCTTGCACCGTTTTGCTCATCTTATCTTTCTGTACCTTACATTTATTTCAAAGCCACTCTTCACTGGGGTTCTCCTGTGATTTGTCTTTTTCTGAAATCTTTTGAAATTAAACTGTACCTCCCAGCACACTTAATTGCCATTTCATTGTTTCATAAGTGCAAACAATTTCACATAAACTTAAACTTTGCTTATTCTAAGATACAAGCCACACATTCTCCATTCATCTTCTCAAAGTGATCTAATTTAGACATAACATATATTTGGTTATAGCTAGTTATTGATAAATTGCTATTATCAAAATGCCAAAATGTGAAATAATTTCAAAACTAAATAATGAATAACTACTGCTTAAGAAAGGCAGATCTTTTTGTGTGTATGTGGTGTTTCCAGTTATCTAGAAAAGATAATCCTATCTTCATGGAAAATAAATAAATTCGTTCCTGGAGAAGAATATATCTGAGATGAATTTTGGGAGGCTACAATAATTTGTTAAAAGAAGAAGCTTTAGTTTATTTTAACGTGTAATATTGCTCTGTAACCTTATTTTTTACATATTATGAAATCACTGAGTTTGTGATGCTATAAAAGTATGTATTTTGTACTTTCTATTTTTCAACATCACATTTTAATGAATATATATTACTAAATTTATATAATAATTTAGTATCCTTGTTCTATAATTCGAAATGTTATCTTTAAAAACACTTATTTCACTCTTCATTCCATGTATTCATGCTGTATCTGTTAGCACTATTCTTGACATTGGGAATATGGTAGTAAATAACATAAAGATCTCTACATTTATTGATTAGCACTGCATGAAATCTTTGTATATGTCAGGAATTATGACTTTTACATCTGTTTTCCTGTGTTGTAATTTTACTTAATAACTGTTTTTATTGGACAAGATACTTCACATAGCTAAATCTTAGTTTTCTCATATATAAAGTTGAAATAATAACAAACAATTCATATGGTTGCTGTGAAGATTTCAGGGACTAATGACCATAGAACACTTAGTATGGAGTAATTACTAAAAAACAGAGTGAAAAGACTTGCTGGGTGCAAAGGAGCTTTCAGCATTGGCCACAATTGTACTTATACCACCCCACAAATTTTGGCTTTTGTGTTGATAGTGGTCACCATCCTACACTATATTACTTCCCTGTCACTGGATTTTCAGTGGAATCTCCCTGGTCTATCATTTAAACCCAGTCCTTGATGCCTTAGAGCCTTAACAAATCTGTATAATTTTTTTTTTAAAGGAAAGATTTCTTTTACACAGTGTCACTTTACCCTATATTAAATAACTAAAGATCTCTCTCAACTTGTGTAATAGTATTTTGTATTTCAAAGTAATTTTCTGACACAATCTCTGATAAGAAGTATGTAGCCACTTCACTAGCTAAAATAAATTACTAAATAAACTGATTAAGAAACACATGTTTATATTATTTTGTTAGCAATAACATTGCTGAAAGCAAACAATCTACTACAATTTTAATGTTATCTCCATTTGCTGGTTCTGTATAATTACCTGCATAACCTTTATTCGTTCTGCTTAAATACTTCAATTCTATGATTTATGGGAAAATATTATACACTATAATGAAGAATTTACCTGAGTGTCTCTTTTCTCTCTCTTCCTCCTCATAGCCATCATTCATGTGTGTAAATATATATATATATATATATATATATACACACATGCCAGTCCTCACAATAACAGTATTGCTTCAATTATTTACTCTAAATTGCCTATTTTAACCCTTCCTTTAGGTGCACTTTAATTTCAAAACACAGTACTTAAGCTTTATGTCTCTTTTCTTTCCTTTATTCTTATTTTTGGAGCAGAAGTTTAAGTGCAGTTTAGTTTCCATTCTGTATGATAGAAATGCTAAAAGGCGTTTTGGGTCTAAATAACTATTTCATTTTCCCTACATTTATTATTACAGGCTCCCTTAAACTCAGCAATTTTAAAGCTATTTTTAGAGGCAAGCCACTCTAGATGGCAGCGGACTGATAGTTGACACTGAAACAATGAACTATGTCCTATTCCTCTTCGAGAATTTTTTTTTTTTTTTTTTTTTTTTGCTAGCAAATAGCCAATTGTGAAGGATCTACTTTTC
Source organism: Homo sapiens (assembly GCF_000001405.40). Taxonomy (NCBI): domain Eukaryota; kingdom Metazoa; phylum Chordata; class Mammalia; order Primates; family Hominidae; genus Homo; species Homo sapiens. The sequence continues at coordinate 93,819,184 of NC_000006.12, forward strand.
TCAGTTTTTAGTTCCAAAGTCCCATCAATCATACCAGTCCTGAGGGGAAAAAGCATCGTGTGTACACTAACATTTTCAAGCCCAAAGCTGTGTTGTTGCTCTCTCTAGCAGTACCATCTGCTCTGAGCCAACTTGAAAGCCAAGGGACTCCAGTAAACCTTCACGTCAAAAACTTCCCACTATGCAAGGAAATCATCATAAAGGATCTGTGTGAAATGTGAGCCACATACTTCAAAAAGAAGGCAGCAATGTTTGGAATAACACCATAGAATTCAAACAGAGAGCCTATTACGAAATTCACAAAGAAACAGCTAGACCAGGAGGTGGCACAATCTAAAGAAAACTGCAAAAATTAAAGGAGTATAAAAAAGAAAAGAAAACCTGATCAGAATGTTGTCATTAAATAAACGTAAGCATACTTTAGTGATCCTGCTTTTAAAAGGGCTTTCTACATTTTTGAAAATAGATAAAAATATTTTTTCAACAAAAGTTGTCTCATATTACATAGAATCATACTTTCAAGTTATCTTAAGTAATAATCAATACTTAAATCTTTTTGAAAGCATATGATTGAATTAACTTAAAAAAATTATCAATGCAGCCGAAGATTAAAATGAATGTTTCAAAAGTTCTAAAATTATGATGGTAGTATTGTGGACATAGAACTTCAAATAAAATAATAAAACTTAGGTTTTTATGCAGTTGTTTAGAACTATAAAATGTTTTTATTTTAATGATTTAAGCTGAGTCAAGTTCTTTATGTTGAAATATATTTTACTGTAGAAACAATAAGATAATAGAACTTATATTCCTCATCAGAACTTAATATACAACAAACTATATAAAATAAATATGTATGTCATATTTAATTGTGATATACCTTTTTCTAACTGAAATTTAGCATGATAATACAAGGCCAGAAACATACTTTTTATTTCCCTTTAAGTATTTCATTTTATCTTCATTTACGAGACATTATCTTGTATAGAATGTGCTGCTTGGGGAAAAAATGTAAGAAGTAGAGATTTTGATAAAGCAGAGAAGAACAAGAAATCTTCAACAGAATAGCAATGTGGAAATTATGAACTTAGAAGTATCCAAGGAAAGGAAAATTCAAAAGCAGGAAAATCTCCTAAAGCCTAAGAATGAGGGGAAGTTTTGTGATATTCACTGAAACTGACTGGCGATGTGGAGTTTTTTTTGTTTTGGTTTTTGCTTTCTGCTATGAGTGTTAAACACTTAATCAGTTACCATTTTGCTGTGGAAAAAAAATCATTCCAAATTTTAGTAGCTTAAGACAACATTTATGATTATCTCTCAGTTCCTTGTGATAAGACTGGCAAGGTGATTGTTACTGAGTTCTTCATGCAGGTGTAGTTCAAAAGGAAGATTGGACTGAAGACATCTGAAGAATTGACTGGTTGTTAAAAATTGCTCACTGTATGGCTGCTTATTGCTGTAGCTGTTGAGGCTAAGCATTGTACCTGTATATGATCTCCCTACATAGCTAGAACTCTCAATACATGGCATTTAGGTCCTCAGAGGAAGTGACCTAAAAGTAAGTTTCCAAGAGATTCATGATGTACAACTATTCTTATGATCTAGCCTGAAAAGTCTCTTTTTCCACTTGTTAATGTTTAATCAGGTCTTTAAGGTCGGCTAAATTTAAGAGGAGGGAGATAAGATCACATCTTTGGTCTCATCTTTAATTGGTGGCATATCATACTGGGAGGGAAGGAGTTGATAGTGGCCATCATTAGACATTATCCACCTCAAATATAGTAAGTGTTAACCATTATAAATCTATGACTAAATATTCTAACAACTTTTGTTATTATAATTTAAATTTACATTTTTGTAATTATATTTAAGTATTCAGTGCTTGCTTTTTACTAGGAATTGTACTTAGTGCTTTGTAAGTATATCTAATGTAATTTTTAGCCGTATGAAGTAGTTATTAGTTCTTGTAAAATGTAGGAAAGTTAATATTTTTTTTCAAGGTCACAGAACTGGTAAATGAAGTATTGCCTAAGGAGCTAAAATGTTTTCTCTTATTGTGACACTGTTGCTGCATCTCTGACTTTATTGCTGACTTTTCTAGTTATTCACACTCCACAATGAGTGTTTTTCAATATTCTGTAGTTTATTTTCTTTAAATTGGGCAATTTTCTTTACTTATATGGCTCAGGTGATCACTTCTACGAATTGACTTTTAACCTTTGCAGTCCAATTCCTCATCTTTTTCTTTAGATTCAGTGCAGCATTTCCTAGTCCTTGTTGCACATTACCACTTGCATCTTCTTTAATGAGAAATAAAACACATCTGAGCATTATTTAACTTATTTTCCTATATATATTATTTCAAAAATCTCCAGTCTCTCAAGAAGTCAGAGCCTTCTATGATTATTTTCTTTCAGTCAATTTAAGTACCTTGTTCTGGTATCCCTTCTTTCATAATATCAATTTGATTTATACTTCTGCTTCTGATTCCACATCAGTTCCTCCATCCACCATATAGATATAGTCACCTAATGTATGTTCCCCAATTGCTCTTTTGATTATGTCAAGACTCTAAAACAATTATTGAAGTTACATTTTATATGAAACAAACATTAACATTCTTAATTCAACAGAAAAGTTTCTCTTAAATTTGTTTTGCTGCTCTGCTCCAAATTGCTTGCCAATGTGTCTCTTCATTAGCACTTACACCCCCATGACATTTGAATATCTATATCTGAAGTTAATCAAAGGGTTCTGTATCTTTCTGGAATCAGGGATTTATTCAATCAACCTCTATGCAAATTTGAAAAAAAATAGCCATTCCATTTTTTTTTAAACACTATATTCTTGAGCCTTAGTCAATTTTTATCCTAATTATTTATTTCTTCTTAGCCTTATTTATTGTTTTTCCATCTCCAATGTTCCTGTCTTAAATTTCAGGTAAGGTTTAGGCACTCATCATTCTTGATTGTATATTTCCAGATCAAAACTCTTACTTGACCCTAGGCTTAAATGCCTACAGGTAATTACAACTATTCTATAGACAAAATGAAATGAATGATCAGATGTCCCCAACAAATCAGCTTTCCTCTGATATTTTCCCTTTTTAATCAGCTCTGATATTTCTCATTTTATATGTCCCATTTCTAATTCACTGGCAACTTTTTAAAAAACTTTTCCATCAATATATATCATTAACCTAACCACTTCTAACCATTTTCATTATCAAAATCCCAATCCAAATGTTATTCTCTCTCTTCAGGGCATATGATAACCTTCTCATTGGTCTCCCTGCAGTCCACCTTCCACAGAGCGAGAGTGAGCTCTGTAAAACATAAATCAGATCACATCACTCCCCGGCTAAAATCATACTTACGGCTACCAATTATACATGTAACAAAATGTATCTCCTGAATGTGGTTCATAAAACCTTACATGATCTTGTCCCTCCCTGCCTATTCTACACAATCTAGTCTGTATACATTCTCTACCCTTGAATCAGACTGGGCTTCTCCTACATTTCAAACATGTAAAATTTAATCTTGTCTCAGTGTCTTTGCATTAGGAAGCTATTCTTACATATTATTTTAAAGTAATAATTTTAATATGGTGTGATGTAGAAATTAAGTTTGAATGTTTTTTTCATAATGATGCCTAGTTGTTCCATTAACACTTGTTGAAAGCACTGTACTTTTCTCATTGAATATCCTAGTGCCATCATCCAAAATACATTGTATGTATGTGGGTCCATTCTGGATTCTGTTCTCTTTCATTACTCAGTGTGCAATTTTTTACCCAATACTACACTGTCTTGATTTCTGTAGTTTTATGGTAAGAGTTGAAATCAGATAGAATGTCTTCTAATTTTGCCTTTCTGCTTTAAGATTCTTTTGCTCCTATAGGTCCTTTGTTTTATCATGTAAATTGTGGCTTCACTAAATATTACTGTAAAAAACCCTCCTTGAACTTGATTAGGAAGGCATTAAATCTAAAGACCGATTTGGAAGAATGGACTTCTTGTTAACATTGAGTCTTCCAAATAATGAACATGGTCTCTCCACTTATTTAGGTTATTTTAAATTTCTTTCTGCTTTATAGATTTTGATGTATATACTTTTTAATATATTATGTTCCTAAGTATTTCATAAGTTTTAATGCTATTGCAAAGAGTTCATTTTTATTACCTATTTTTTTCTTTAGTAAAAGTAAAATGCAATTGTTTTAAAATACAGATATTTTCTAATGAAACATTGATAAATTGACTTATTAGTTCTAGTGATTTTTATTTTTGTAAATATTTAGTATTATTTAAATTGTGTATGTTTGTATGTAGTTGTTAATTTATGTTTCTATAATAACCAGCAATTTAATAGGCTCTTTTTCCATTATTTTCCAACTTAAACTGCATCTCCTTTGGTTGCCTACATCGATGGCACCCGTCTACACTACGGAGTGCGGTTTTGCTTCAGAAATTATATAGAGTTGAATATGTGAATAAGTAGATTTTTACACAGTCTGTTGTAAAATTTCTGACTTTTGTTTCTTCCTGATGCCATATTGCCTAGCTGGAAATTCCACTGCAGTGGTGAATAGAAGTTGTAAAAGTATACCTTCTTGACTTATTTCTGGTCTCAAGAAAAACATGTTCATTGTCTCACTATTAAGTGTTTGTAAGTTAGCTGTAGATGATTTTAATAGACAACCATCATCGAATTTGAGAAGTTCCCTTCTGACTTTGCTAAGAATTTTTATTGTAAATTCTTGTTGAAGTTTGTCAAATTCCTTTTCTGCACCTATTGAGATGATCCTGTGGATTTTCTTCTTTATTCTCCTAATATTGTTGGATGATTTTCAAATGTTGAAATAACCTTATATCTCAGGGATAAATCACACTCTCTAGTGATCTACTATCGTTTCTACATATAATAGATGCATTTATATTTGCTGATATTTAATTGAGGATTTTTCTTTTATGTCACAAACAATATTGGACAGTAATTTTTCTTTCTGATAATATCTGTGTCAGCTTATTTTATCAGGTTATGCTGGCTTCATAAAGCAAGCTGGGAAGATTTCTTTCACCTTTATTGACAGTATTTTCTTTAAGCATTTGATATAATTTATCATTTAATGCTTCCGGTTTTGGAATATTCTTTTTGAAATGGTTTTAAATTATAAATTTATTTTAATGCACATAAGGACTATTGACATTTTCTATTTTCTCTTCATTAATTTTGGTAAGTTGTAATTTCAAGATATTTGTCTGCTTTATCTAAATTGGAGAATTTTATACATAAAGAATTTCCTAATAGTAATGGTCTTAATTTTTGTGATCCCTCAAAATTCATATGTTGAAATTCTAGCTCCCAATGTAATGGTACTAGGAGAGAGGGCCTTTGCCAAGTGATTAGGTCATGAAGGTGGCCCTGTCATGAATGGGATTAGTGCCCTTTTTTTTTTTTTTTTTTTTTTGAGACGGAGTCTCGCTCTGTCGCCCAGGCTGGAGTGCAGTGGCGGGATCTCGGCTCACTGCAAGCTCCGCCTCCCGGGTTCACGCCATTCTCCTGCCTCAGCCTCCCAAGTAGCTGGGACTACAGGCGCCCGCCACTACGCCCGGCTAATTTTTTGTATTTTTAGTAGAGACGGGGTTTCCCTGTTTTAGCCAGGATGGTCTCGATCTCCTGACCTCGTGATCCGCCCGCCTCGGCCTCCCAAAGTGCTGGGATTACAGGCGTGAGCCACCGCGCCCGGCCTAGTGCCCTTTTAAGGGAGGCCAAAAAGAACTTGATTGCCTCTTCTACCATGTGAGGACAGAACAAAAAGACAGCCATCCATGAACTACAAAGTGGGTCATTTCCAGTCACTAATCTGCCAGCACTTTGATCTTGGACTGTCCAACTTCTCAGAACTGGAGAAATAAATTTATGTTCTTTAACAAGAAGCTAGTCTTTGTTATTTTGTTATAAAAGGAATGGACTTAGCTTTATGTACTGAGACACTAATGTTTCCTGTTTCTCTTTTCATAAGAGTGGAATCCGTAATGATGGCCATTTTATTATTCCTGATATTGTTAATTTGTATTTTAACTTTTTAAAAAAATAGTCTATTAGGAGTTTCCAATTTCATTACTCTTTTTGAAGAATCAATTTTTGACTATTAATTTTCCTATTTATTTTCTCTTTAATTTTTATTCTAACATATTTTTCATTGTCTTTACTTTGGGGTTTAATTTGCTCTTTACTTTCTAGGGTTACTAAGGTAGACATTTAGAACATTAGTTTTAGATCTTTATTCCTTGTATATGAAGCTTTTATATTCTCTGTAAAGATTAATTGGGCAATATTTCATATATTTTATATTTTGTCTTTTCATTATCATTCTGGTGAACTATTTTCTAATTGGCTTTGTGTTTTCTCCATTTACTTATGAGTTATTTAGAAGTGAGTTGCTTAATTTTGAAATATTTGAGAATTTTCTAGATGCATTGTTTTGTTTTTATATATTTCTAATCATTTTACTTGTAGTTAGAAAACATATTCTAAATAATTTCAAACCTTTGAAACTTATGAAGATTTATTTTATGGCCTAGTATATGGTCTATCTTGATAAATGTTCCATGAACACTGAAATAATATATGTTTTGAAGTTGCTAAATAAAATTTTCTATAAATATCTATTTGCATATTCATTGGAAACAGTATTAAATTATACTGTATATTTAGTAAGATAAATAATGATCCCCCAAAGATTTCCATGTCCTAATCCCCAGAACCTGTGAATATGTTAATTTATGTGGCAAATGGATTTTGCAGGTGTGATTAAGTTAAGGCTCTTGATTATTCTGGATTATCCAGGTAGGCAAATGTAATTAGAAGGGCTCACAAGGAGGTAGGAAACTAAGAGAAGGAGGTGTTACAATAAATATGTAATGACAGTTGGAGTGATGTGGCTGTGAGCCCAGAAATGCTGACAACCTCTAGAACCTAGAAAAGACAATGAATGAGTTCTCTGTGGGTTCCTCCAAAAGGACTGCAGCTCTTCTCACACTTTGATTTTGTCTTACATAAGGCTTACTTTGGACTTCTGACTTTCAGAGTTGACAAGTAATAAATCTGTGATTTTTAAACCACTAAGTTTGTGATAATTTGTTACAGCAACAATAGAAAACTAATGTATTTCCTAATTCATATTTTGTCCACTTGTTATATCATTACTGAGAGAAGAATATTTAAATCTCTAATTCTGCCTGTGGTTTTTTATTTCTCATTTAGTTATGTCAATCACTGCTTTATACATTTTTTATAACTTTGTAATTAAGTGCATGTACATTTTAAGGATTAACCCTTTTATCATTTTGAAATGACACCTCTCCAATCCTTCCAGTTTGACAATCTCAGTTTTTTAATTAGTATGTTTTTGTTCATTTTAATGTAATTTCTGATGGTCTAGGTTTAAATCTAGCATCTTAACCTCATTTAGGAAATGAGAAATTTTTAATATTCCACTCTGTCTTTTCTACTGGCTTTTTATCTGTAACTCTCGATGGTGGTCATATTGTTAAAGGGATTAAAATGTGCATTTGCAATTATCACATTCCATCTTGAATTAATACGACCCATTTCACATTTAAGAAACTTAAAACCATATAATTCTACTTGCATACTCTCTGTGTTATTATTTTCTTTGTTTTATTCAAAATACTTATAAACTCACAGTATCCTATGATAATTTTTGCTTTACAGGGCTTATGGAAATTTAAATAACTGAATAATATAAAAGCTAATATGTATTTATATTTTCAAATGCTTTTTTTTATTACTTCTTTACTACTGATTCAAATCTCCATTGATATAATTTCCTTCTTCCTGAAAAACTTTGTGTTAGCATTTGCAAAATCCAGCATGCAGTTTCTATAGATTATGGTGATATAATTATCTCAAATTTCAGTAATTTGGTGTTGCCTTCATCTTGCCTTAATTTTTAAAATATATTTTTGGTGGCTAAAGAGTATTAAGTTGAAAGCATTTTCTTTTACCCTCCAATTATATCATTTCTTTTGTCTTCCCAGCTCCTTGTTTCTACACACATTCTCCTGTGTGTAATGTATTTTTTATCTGGATATTTAAAGACACTTTTATTAATTCTTGTTTTAGGACTATTATGACTATACTCTACCTAGATATGGTTTTCTTGATTTATCCTGCATAGTGTTTGCTGAACTTCCTAAATGAAGGTGCTAATGCTTTTAATCAAATTTGAAATTGTTCAAACAATATTTCTTCAAGTATTTTCCATATAATATCCTTTCTGTTTTGTCCATCTGAAATTCTAATTTTTCTTATCTTTGTTTTAATCTGATGCTTTTTCAAATTCATTCTTCTATCTTATTTTTAATATGCTTTCAGGTATAATATATAGGTGCTTTAATATAGTTTCCAAATAATTCCTTCATCAGATTATATTAATGAAACATCTGAGTACTTTTTAGGTCTGTTCCTAGTCATTAAATTTTCTTTTGCATGTCTAGCTCGGTTTAAAAAAATATCTATTGGACATTGTGGATGATATTACTCCTTAATTTTAAGGTATTTATTGTTGATAAAAATTCTGCTGTCAGTCAATTATCAATGTAAACCTGAACTCCCACATGGCATCAGGGACTTTTTTGAACACTGTGCTAACAGATTTGACCAAACTTTACTCTGGTTTCCACCTGTTCTAGGTCATTCTCCTAAAGGTGACTCCAGTCCTGTGCTGAGTCCTGTGCATTCTCCTAAAGGTGACTCTAGTCCTGTGCTCAATAAAATGCAATGCTGCCAAACTGCAAATTGTCAATTGTCCTTACCGACTTTGTCAAAACATTTTTAATAATTGTTCATTTGACCCCTTCTTGTAATTCCTGATATCTCCAGATCCCCCAGTCCATTTTGTTCTTCCTTTTTTACCTTCCCATTGTCTCTTTTTCTTCTTTTTTTTTTCTCTTGAAAAACTTCAAGTGCGGGTATAAATTAGTTCAGCCATTTTAGACAGCAGTTAGGAGATTTCTCAAACAACTAAAAGAACTATCATTTAACCCAGCAATCCCACTACTGGCCGTATATCCAAAGGAAAATAAATAAAAGAAACATGGCTTTGTATGTTTATCACTGCACTATTTTACAATAGTAAAGCCATGGAATCAACCTAGGTGCTCATCAAAGATGAATTGGATAAAGAAAATGAGGAACATACACATGATGTAATCACAAAGCCATAAAAAATAATGAAATCATGTCTTTTTCAGCAACATGGATGCAACTGGAGGCCATTATCCTAAGTGAGTTAATGCAAAAAATGGAAAAATAAATGCTGCATGTTCTCTCTTATAACTGGAAGCTAAACATTGGGTATGCATGGACACAAAGAGGGAAACAATAGACACTGGGGACTACAAAACAGGAGAGGAGGGAAGAGAGGAGGGGTTGAAAAACTACCTATTGGTACTACTTAAATAAAAGTTGACAAAAAAATCTTCGGCCATCTTTGTCTTAGTTGAATTTAAGCTGTTTATACTGGAGTCAGTCTCCCAAACTTAAATAAACTGAATAAAATCTGTCTTGCTGCCTTTAACAAAGTCTCTGATGTTTTCTTTGATGTCACATATCCCATAAGCAATGTATCTCTATTCACTGCAAGCGTTTAATATTACTTTTATATTTGATGTTCTGTAATTGTAATACTAAGTGCCTAGCTCTTAAAAATTATTAATATTATTTTTGGGGCAATTGTGAGAGTTTGTTCATGATTGGCTCTCTTCTTGACTGTTTCTCATGTACAGGAATGCTAGTGATTTTTGCACACATTTGTATCCTGAGACTTTGCTGAAGTTGCTTATTAGCTTAGGAAGCTTTTAGGCTGAAAGGATGGAGTTTTCTAGATATAAGACATGCCATTTGCAATCACAAATACTTTGAATTCCTCTCTTCCTAGCTGAATGACTTTCTTTCTTTCTCTTACCTATTGCCCTGGCCACAGTTTCCAATACTATGATGAATAGAAGTGGTGAGACAGGGCACCCTTTTCTTTTGCTGGTTTTCAAGGAGAATGCTTCCAGCTTTCGCCCATTTAATATGACATTGGCTGTACATCTGTCATATATAGCTCTCATTATTTTGAAGTATGTTCCTTCAATATCTAGTTTATTGAGAGTTTTTAACATGAAGGGATGTTGAATTTTATCAATAGCCTTTTCTGCATCTATTGAGGTAACTATGTTTTTTTTTTTTGTCTTTAGTTCTGTTTATGTGATGAATCACATTTACTGATTACATATATTGAACCAACCTTGGATCCCAGAGGTGAAGTCTACTTGTTTGTGGTGGATAAGCTTTGAGATGTGCCACTAGATGCAATTTGTTGAGGAATTTTTCACTGATGTTCATCAAGGATATTGGCCTGAAGTTTTCTTTTGTGTGTGTGTGTGTGTGTGTGTGTGTCTGCCAGGTTTTGGTATCAGGATACTTGCCTTATACAATGAGTTAGGGAGGAGTCTCTTCAATTTTTTGAAATACATTGAGAAGGGAAGGTACCAGCTCTTCTTTGTACATCTGGTAAAATTCAACTGTGAATCTGTCTAGATCTGGGCCTTTTTAGTTAGTAGGTGATATGGTTTTGCTGTATCCCCACCCAGATCTTATCTTGAATTGTAATTCTCATAATCCCTACATTTCCTGGGAAGGACCCAGTGGGAGGTAATTGAATCATGGGGCCAGTTACCTCCATGCTGTTCTCATGATAGTGAGTGAGTTCTCACAAGATCTGAAGATTTTATAAAGGGCTTTCCCCATCTTCTGTCTACAATTCTCCTTGCTGCCACCATGTGAAGAAGGACATATTTGCTTCCCCTTATGCCATGATTGTAAGTTTCCTGAGGCCTCCCAAGCCATGCTGAACTTTGAGTCAATTAATCCTCTTTTTTTAATATAAATTACACAGCAACATGGCTGTTTATTTCACCTGGGTGCAGGTGGGCTGAGTCCGAAAAGAGAGTCAGTGAAGGGAGATGGGGTGGGGCCGTTTTACAGGATTTGGGTAGGTAAAGGAAAATTACAGTCAAAGGGGGTTTGTTCTCTGGCGGGCAGGAGTGGGAGTCGCAAGGTGCTCAGTGGGGGTGCTTTTTGAGCCAGGATGAGCCAGGAAAAGGACTTTCACAAGGTAATGTCATCACTTAAGGCAAGGACCGACCATTTACACTTCTTTTGTGGTGGAATGTTATCAGTTAAGGTGGGGAAGGGCATATTCACTTCTTTTGTGATTCTTCAGTTACTTCAGGCCATCTGGGCATATACGTGCAAGTCACAGGGGATGCGATGGCTTGGCTTGGGCTCAGAGGCCTGACATTCCTGCCTTCTTATATTAATAAGAAAAATAAAACAAAATAGTGTTGAAGTGTTGGGGCGGCAAAAATTTTTGTGGGGTGGTATGGAGAGAGAATGGGCGATGTTTCTCAGGGCTGCTTCAAGCGGGATTAGGGGCGGCGTGGGAACCTAGAGTGGGAGAGATTAAGCTGAAGGAAGGTCTTGTGGTAAGGGGTGATATTGTGGGGATGTTAGAAGAAACATTTGTCGTATAGAATGACTGGTGATGGCCTGGATACGGTTTTGGCTAAGAATTGGGATGACTCTGGATATCTGATTAGAGAGTGCCTAAGGAGATTCAGCATAGTCCTGCCAGCAAAGATTATTTATTTACTTCAAGAGTTAAGAGTGGCAGTTTGGGGATAGCACCAGGAGATATCAGCTGTGATGGCTTGGAAAAACAGTGTAAACTGGCAGTGTAAACAAGAGCAGGGCATGTATGAGTAGTTGAGAACGGTGAACAGGAGTATGACTAGACAGGAGATAGTAGGGATGACAAGTTTTTTGGGGCACAGTCTAAGTTGGTCTGGTGTCTGGAATGAGACTGGGGCCTAATAAAAAGGAGTGTCTATACAGGAGCTTAAATGGGCTGTACCCTGTAGCATTCTAAGGACAGGCCTGAATTCTGAGAAGGGAAAGTGGTAAAAGTATTGTCCATTCCTTTTTAAGTTGGTGGCTGAGCTTGGTGAGGTGTGTTTTTAAAAGACCTTTAGTCCATTTGACTTTTCTTGAAGACGGAGGACCTTAAGGGATATAAAGGTTTCACTGAATACTAAGAGCCTGAAAAACTGCTTGGCTGATTTGACTAATAAAGGCTCATCTGTTATCAGACTGTATTGAGGTGGGAAGGCTAAACTGAGGAATTATGTCTGACAGAAGGGAAGAAATGACTGCGGTGGCCTTCTCAGACCCTGTAAGAAAGGCCTGTATCTATCCAGTGAAAGTGTCTACCTAGACTAAGAGGCATTTTAGTTATCTGACTCAGGGCATGTTGAGTAAAGCTAATTTGCCAGTCCTGGGTGGGGCAAATCCTCGAGCTTGATGTGTAGGGAAGGGAGGGAGCCTGAATAATCCCTGAGGAGTAGTAGAATAGCAGATGGAACACTGAGAAGTTATTTCCTTGAGGATAGATTTCCACGATGGAAAGGAAATGAGAGGTTCTAAGAAGTGGGCTAGTGGCTTGTACTATAGCATAACCTGCCTTTGCTGGTGTGTGGCGATTAGGCCTGGTGGAACCGCCATCAATAAATCAAGTGTGATCAGGGTTGAGGAACAGGAAAGAAGGAAATTTGGGGAAATAGGGTGAATGTCAGGTGGATCAGAGAGATACAGTCATGGGGGTCAGGTGTGGTATCAGGAATAATGTGGGAGGCCGGATTGAAGTCTGGGCCAGGAACAATGGTAATTGTGGGAGACTCAACAAAGAGTGAGTATAGCTGAAGGAGCCGGGAAGCAGAAAGTATATGCGTCAGGTATGAGGAAGAAAATAGATTTTGGAAGTTATGAGAACTGTAGAGAGTGAGTTGAGCACAGTTTGTGATTTTGAGGGCCTCTAAAAGTATTAAAGCAGCGGCAGCTGCTGCACGCAGACATGAGGGCTAGGCTAAAACAGTAAGGTCAAGTTGTTTGGACAGAAAGGCTACAGGGTGTTGTCCTGGCTCTTGCGTAAGAATTCTGACCGTGCTAACCATGCCTAGGAAGGAAAGGAGTTGTTGTTTTGTAGAAGGTGCTTGGGTTTGAGAGATCAGCTGGACACGATTGGCAGGGAGAGCACGTGTGTTTTTATGAGAATTATGCTGAGATAGGTAACAGATGAGGAAGAAATTTGGGCTTGATTGAAGTAATGGGGGCTGCCTGTGAAGCTTTGCGGCAGTACAGCCTAGGTAATTTGCTGAGCTTGATGGGTGTCAGGGTCAGTCCAAGTGAAAGCGAAGAGAGGCTGGGAATAAGGGTGCAAAGGAATAGTAAAGAAAGCATGTTTGAGATCTAGAACAGAATAATGGGTTGTAGAGGCAGGTATTGAGGATAGGAGAGTATATGTGTTTGGCACCACGGGGTGGATAGGCAAAACGATTTGGTTGATAAGGCGCAGATCCTGAACTAACTTGTAAGGCTTGTCTGGTTTTAGGACAGGTAAAATGGGGGAATTGTAAGGAGAGTTTATAGGCTTTAAAAGGCCATGCTGTAGCAGGCGAGTGATAACAGGCTTTAATCTTTTTAAAGCGTGCTGCAGGATGGGATATTGGCATTGAGTGGGGTAAGGGTGATTAGGTTTTAATGAGATGGTAAGGGGTGCATGATCGGTCGCCAAGGAGGGAGTAGAGGTATCTTATACTTGTGGGTTAAGGTGGGGGGATACAAGAGGAGGACGCAAAGGCGGCTTTGGATTGGGAAGAAGGGCGGCAATAAGATATAGCTGTAGTCCAGGAATAGTCAGGGAAGCAGATAATTTAGTTAAAGTGTCTCAGCCTAATAAGGGAACTGGGCCGGTGGGGATAATTAAAAAGGAGTGCTTAAAAGAGTATTGTCTAAGTTGGCACCAGAGTTGGGGAGTTTTAAGAGGTTTAGAAGCCTGGCCGTCAATACCCACAACAGTTATGGAGGCAAGGGAAACAGGCCCTTGAAAAGAAGGTAATGTGGAGTGGATAGCCTCCGTATTGATTAAGAAGGGGACGGGCTTACCTTCCACTGTGAGAGTTACCCGAAGCTCGGCGTCCGTGATGGTCTAGGGGGCTTCCGAGGCGATCGGGCAGTGTCAGTCTTCAGCCGCTAAGCCGAGAAGATCTGGGAAGGAGTCAGTCAGACAGCCTTGGGCCAGAGTTCCAGGGGCTCTGGGAGTGGCTGCCAGGTGAGTTGAACAGTCCGATTTTCAGTGGGATCCCACACAGATGGGACGCGGCTTAGGAGGACTCCCGGGCTGCGGGCATTCCTTGGCCCAGTGGCCAGATTTCTAGCAAGTGTAGCAAGCTCCTGCGGGAGGAGGTTCTGGAGCAACGCCTGGCCGCTCCAGTTCAGGAGTTTGGAAGTTCTTGTGTGCTGGAAATGTGGCTGGGGTTTGTCTCACAGTGGAGGCAAGGAATTGCAAGTTTTTTCTGTTATTGTACACCTTGAAGGCGAGGTTAATTAAATCCTATTGTGGGGTTTGAGGGCCGGAATTTAATTTTTGGAGTTTTATTTAATGTCGGGGCAGATTCGGTAATAAAATGTGTTTTGAGAATAAGACAGCCTTTTGACCTTTTAGGGTCTAGGGCTGTAAAGTGTCTCAGGGTTTCTGCCAAACAAGTCATGAACTGGGCTGGATTTTTATATTTGATGAAAAAGAGCCTAAACGCTATCTGATTTGGGATAAAGAAAAAGGAGCATTAACCTTGACTATGCCTTTAGCTCCAGCCACCTTTTTAAGAGTAAATTGCTGGGCAGGTGGGGGAGGGCTAGTCACGGAACGAAACTGTAAGCCAGGCCAGGTGTGAGGAGGGGAGGTGATAAAAAGATTATAGGGTGGAGGAGCAGAGGCTGAGGAAGAATTGGGACCTAGCTCAGCCTGGCGAGGATCAGCCTGGGGAGGAAGGGAGAGGTCAGATGGGTCTGTAGAAAAGGAAGATTAGAAAGACTCAGCGATGCTTGGGGTTGGGACTGAGGGGACAGGCAGGAGGGAAAGAAGGAAGATTTGGGACGAGTTGCACTGGGCACAGAGACTAGGAAGGGACTGATGTGTAAAAGAATGCCTGGACGTCAGGCACCTCAGACCGTTTGCCTATTTTATGACAAGAATTATTTAGATCTTGCAGGATGGAAAAATTCAAAGTGCTATTTTCTGGCTATTTGGAACTACTGTCGAGTTTGTATTGGGGTCAAGTGGCATTGCAGAAGAAAATAAGGCATTTAGGTTTTAGGTCAGGTGTGAGTTAAGAGGTTTTAAGTTTTTGAGAACACAGGCCAAGGGACTAGAAGGAGGAATGGAAGGTGGAAGGTTCCCATAGTGAAGGAAGCAAGCCTAGAGAAAAGAGAGAGTAGATAAATGGAGGGAAGGGGTTCGGGGGTTCTTACCTTCCAGAAAAGTGGGAAAAGGGGTTGGGGCGCAGAGATAAGAGGTCGGGGCATGGAAATAAGGGATGGGGCGCAGAAATAAGAGGTAGGGGCACGGAAATAAGGGATTGGGGCGCAGAGATACGAGCTGGGGGTACTTGCCCCTCCTCTAGAAAAGCGGGACTTGCTGCTAGGAGTGAAGGAGAAGGGGTTGAGGGGTACTTGCCCCTTCCCCAGAAAAGCGGGACTTGCCACTAAGGGTGAAGGACCAAGGCAGGCGTCCCTGCGTGGTCTGACAGCTTTGAAACATGGGTGAATAATCAGAGGCGTCCCTGCAATGATTAAACACCAAGGGAAGGCTGCCTTCCCAGTCCGTGACCGGCGCCGGAGTTTTGGGTCCACGGATAAAACGTGTCTCCGTTGTCTCTCCCAGAAAATGAAAGGAATTGAAATTAAGAGAAGGGAGAGATTGAAGAGTGGAAAGGAGAAAGTGGTTGAGGGACAGTGAGAGAGGTTGGAGAAGAGAGTAAGAAGAGGCCACTTACCTGATTTAAAATTGGTGAGATGTTCCTTGGACTGGTCGGTCTGAGGACCTGAGGTCGTTGGTGGATCTTTCTCATGGAGCAAAGAACAGGAGGACAGGGGATTGATCTCCCAAGGGAGGTCCCCCGATCTGAGTCACGGCACCAAATTTCATGCGCGTCCATATGAAGAGACCACCAAACAGGCTTTGTGTGAGCAAGAAAGCTGTTTATTTCACCTGGGTGCAGGCGGGCTGAGTCCGAAAAGAGAGTCAGCGAAGGGAGATAAGGGTGGGGCCATTTTATAGGATTTGGGTAGGTAAAGGAAAATTACAGTCAAAGGGGGTTTGTTCTCTGGCGGGCAGGAGTGGGGGTCACAAGGTGCTCAGTGGGGGTGCTTTTTGAGCCAGGATGAGCCAGGAAAAGGACTTTCACAAGGTAATGTCATCACTTAAGGCAAGGACCGATCATTTACACTTCTTTTGTGGTGGAATGTTATCAGTTAAGGTGGGGAAGGGCATATTCACTTCTTTTGTGATTCTTCAGTTACTTCAGGCCATCTGGGCATATACGTGCAAGTCACAGGGGATGCGATGGCTTGGCTTGGGCTCAGAGGCCTGACATTTAGTGCTATACATTTCTCTCTTAACACTGCCTTAGCTGTGTCTCAGAGATTCTGGTATGTTGTGCTTTTTTCTTACTAGATTCCTACTTTAATGTCATTATTTACCCAAAAGTCATTCAGGAGAAAGTTATTCGAGTTCCATGTAGTTATATGGTTTTGAGTGAATTTCTTAGTCTTGGTCTAATTTGATTGCGCTGTGGTCTGAGAGGCCATTTTCTGTGACTTCAGTTCTTTTGCATTTACTAAGGAGTTGTTTTACTTTCAATTATGTGGTTGATTTTAGAGGAAATGCCATGCAGCGATGAGAGGAATATATATTCTATCGTTTCAGGGTCTGCAGATAACTATCAGGCCCATTTGATCTAGTTTTGGGTTCAGGTCCTGAATATCTTTGTTAACTTTCTACCTTGATGATCTATCTAATATTGTTAGTGGGGTGTTAAAGTCTCCTACTATTATTATGTGGGAGTTTAAGTCTCTTTGAAGGTCTCCGAGAACTTTATGAATCTGGGTGCTCCTGTGTTACACACATATATATTTAGGATAGTTAGCTCTTCATGTTGAATTGAATTATTTACCATTATGTAATGCCCTTCTTTGTCTTTTTTAATCTTTGCCATAAAAGGAATAAAAAACCTAGGAATACAGCTAACTAGGGAGGTGAAAGAACTCCACAAGTAAAACTACAAACCACTGCTCAACTAAATCAGAGATGAAACAAACAAATGGAAAAACATTTCATGATCATGGATAGAAAAGATTAATATCATTAAAATGACCATACTTCTCAAAGCAATTTATATATTCAATGTTATTAACCTACCATTGACATTCTTCACAGAACTAGAAAAAGCTATTTTAAAATTCATATGGAACCTAAAAAGAGCCCTAATAGCCAAGGCAATTGTAAGCAAAAGTAACAAAGCTGGAAGCATCACACTACCTGACTTCAAACTATATGACGGGGGTACAATAATCAAAACAGCAAGGTATAGTGCTATTATAAGAACAGACACATAGACCAGTGAAACAGATTAGAGGTCCCAGAAATCAGACTGCACACCTACAGCTATCTGACCTTCGACAAACGTGACCAAAAAAAAAAAAAAAAAAATGGGGAAATGACTCCCGATTCAATAAATGATGCTGGCATAACCGGCTAGCCATATGCAGAAGATTGAAACTGAATCCCTTCTTTACTCCATATATACACATTAACTCAAGATGGCTTAAAGACTTAAATGTAAAACCCAAAACAGACGCTTTTCAAAAAGAAGACATACGTGTGGCCAAAAATCATACAAAAAAAAAAAAAATGCTCAACATCACTGATCATTAGAGAATTGCAAATCAAAATCACAATGAGATACCATCTAACACCAATCAGAATATCTCCTATTAAGAAATAAAAAAATAACAGATGCTGGCAAAGTTGTAGAACATTTATACACTGTTGTTGGGAGTGCAAAGAAGTTTGGCCATTGTGGAAGACAGTGTAGCAATTCCTCAAAGACCTAGAGACAAAAATACCATTTGACCTAGCAATCCGATTTCTGGGTATATACCCAAAGGAATATAAAATCGTTCTGTTATAAAGATACATGTATGTGTATGTTTATTGCAGCACTATTCACAAGAGCAAAGACATGGAATCAATCTAAATGCCCATCAATGATAGACTGCATAAAGAAAATGTGGTACATATACACCAAGGAATACTATGCAGCCATAAAACAGAATGATTATCATGTCCTTTACAGGGACATGGATGGAGCTGGAGGTCATTATCATTAGCAAACTAACACAGAAACAGAAAAGCAAATACCACATATCCTCATTTATAAGTGGGAGCTAATTGATGAGAACACATGCACACATAGAGAGGAATAACACCCACCGGTGCTTTTCAGAGGGTGAAGGGTGGTGAAGGGAGAGGCTCAGGAAAAACAGCTAATAGGTAGTAGGCTTAATACTGGAGTGATGAAACAATCTGTACAGCTCACCCCCATGGCACAAGTTTACATATGTTAAAAACCTGCACTTGAACCCCTGAACTTAAAACAAAAGTTTAAAAAATATTATTTTTGTTTTACTTGGAACTCAGAAGGTACTTTGATAAATCCTATGATGATTCAGAGATTCATTATTTAAATAAAGATTTTAAAAGTTAGCATTTTTGAGAATGCCAGGATATCCCCATTCAAAATCAAAAATAAAGTATTTTATCTCACCAGTAACTTCACCTGAAAAAAGGCAGGCCACTTTGCAGTCTAGAGGCCTATACTCTGTAGTTGGAATACTTCTTTAACACTTTTATTGAGTAACTTGGATGAATATCCTGTTTGCATAGGGCCGTTTAGGGGCTTGGAAGAAGAAAATATAAAATATCATGGGCTTCTGAATAGAAGAAAAAAATTGTAAATTACATATCTGATAAAGGGTTAGTATCCAGAATATATTAAAAAGTACCTCTTTACAGCTCAACAACAACAACAAATAACCTGGTTATAAAATCGGCAAATGACTTGCACAGAAATTTCTCCATAGATGATATCCAAATGGCCAACAGGCATATTAAAAATGCTCAATATCATTAGTCCTCAGTTAAATGCAAACCCAAACGGCAATGAGATATCACCTTACACCCACGAGGATGGCTACTATATTAAGTTTGCTAAGGAAGCCATAACAAATACCACAGACTGGGTGGCTTAAACAACAGAGAGTTATTTTCTCAAAGTTCTGTAGGCTTAGAAGTTCAAGATGAAGGTGTCAGCATGTTTCATTTCTCCCCATACTGTTCTCCTTGTGTATTAGTCCTTTCTCACACTGTTATAAGAAATATCTAAGACTGGATAATTTATAAAGAAAAGAGGTTTAATTGACTTGCAGTTCTGCATTGCTGAGGAGGTCTCAGGAAACTTACAATCATGGTGGAAGGCAAAGGAGAAGTAGGCACTTTCCTCACAGGGCAGCAGGACGGGTGAGTGCAAGCAGGGGAAATGCCAGAAGCTTATAAAACCATCAGATCTCATGAGACTCACTTATTATTATGAGAACAGCATGGGGGAAACTGCCCCCATGATCCAATTACCTCCACCTGATCCTGCCCTTGACGTGTGAGGATTATGGGAATTATAATTTAAGATGAGATTTTGGGTAGGGACACAGCCAAACCATGTCACCTTGACTAGCAAATGGCCATCTGCTCTCTGTGTCTTCCCATTTTTATCCCTGTATGTGCACATACCTGGTCTTTCAGTTTGTGTCCAAATTTTCTGGTCTTATAGGGATACAAGTCGGACTGAATTGGGGCCTACCTTAACAGCCTCACGTTAGCTCCATCACCTCTTTAAAGGACTTGTGTCTAAATATAGTCACATTTTGAAAGTACTAGGGGTTAGAGTTTCAACATATAAATTTTGTGGGATACATTTCTGTCCATAACAACTACTATCAATACAAACAGACAAATGAACAAACAAACAAAAAAGCAAAGCAGAAAACAAGTGTTGGAAAGTATGTGGAGAAATTGGAATACTTTCAAACTTTTAGTAGATTATAAAATGAAGCAACTGCAATGGAAAACAGTATAGTAGTTCCCCCCAAAATTAAAAATGACACTACTATATGATCAAGCAATCTCTCTTCTGGATATATCTCTAAAATAATTAAAGGCAGAAATGAGATATTTGAACACTCATGTTCATAGCAGCATTAATCTCAATAGCTAAGAAGGGGAAGCAAAGTCAATGTCCTTTGATAGATGTATAAATAAACAAAATGTGGTACACACATAGAGTGGCATATTATTTGGCCTTAGAAATCTTGTCACGTGCTTTGACATAGATAAACTTTGAGGAATTATGCTAAGTGAAATCAGCTAGTGACAGAGAGACAAATATGTATGCCTACATTTATATGAGGTATATAAAGTAGTCAAATTCATAGAAGCAGAAAGTAGGATATTACTTATTAGGTGCTGGACAGAGGGAGAAATTTTAGTTGTTTAATGGGTATAGAATTTTAGTCTTGATAGATGAAAAAGTTTTGGAGATCTCTTGTACACCAATGCGAGTATACCTAACATTACTGATGTACACTTAAAAATGATTAGGATGGTAAATTTTATGTTATGTGGGGTTCTTATTAACTGCAATTAAAAAGAAAAAGATTGGAAGAATTAAACTAAAATGTCGTGCCCTTGTCATTGAGTGGAAGTTACCAACCTTGGATGAAAGAAAGCAGAGGTTATAGATAGCAATCGCCTTAACAATGTCTAGTAATAAACCTATTTGTTTCCATAACTGAGCATGATGCTCAGTTTTGACTCATTGTTCTCTTCAGGCCTTGGGAATTCTTCAAATTCTCCATTGACAGCACAAATTTGCAAAATAGAGGAATTTTAAAACCTTGTAATATATAAAATAAAACAAACACCCTCTCAAAAAATAATGGACTAAGAGGACTGGGGATGAGTCATAGAGGGTCCTGTGGGTGTAATGCCTGAAGATTATTGTTTCTTTTGTTAATGCCCACTAGAGAATATATATATATGTATATATATATACATATATATACACACATATATACATATATATATGTATATATGTGTGTATATATATCACTAAAAACCCAAGTAGAAAGTATGTTTTGACAAGTTGCCATCAGCCAGACTTCAAGTTTGGCACAATGGACACATAAATCAAGTAGCAATGATGACATTAAAGGATGTAATAAGTGGACCCAAGAGGATGCACTCCCATTTCCTAAAGCTGATTCAGTTACAGCCAATGACAAATAGCATATCTTTCAGTGGCCAATGCTCAGAAACTGTATTAGTCAGGGTTATCCAGACAAACAGAAACAATAAATGGAATGTATGTATGTATATATGTGCATGTGTATGTGTGTGTAGTGTGCGTATATATGCATATAAAGATTTACTATATAAAAAATTGGCTCATTCAGTTGTGGAGGCTGAGAAATCCCAAGATCTCCAGTTGGCCATCTGGAGAATCAGGAGGGCCAGCGATATAAATTCCAGTCTGAATGTCGACAGGCTCAAGACTCAAGAAGAGTCAATGATTTGCTTACAGTCTGAAGGCTGGAAATCACCCATTGCTCAGTTTAACAGTCAGGCAGCAGAAGTTCCCTCTTAATCAGCCTTTTTCTTCTATTCAGGTCTTCAATTGATTAGATAAGGCCCACTCATACCAAGGAAGACAACCTACTTTATTCAGTTTAGAGATTCAAAAGTCAATCTTGGCGGGGTGCCGTGACTCATGCCTGTAATCCTATGAATTTGAGAGGCTGAGGCAGGAGGATCACTTGAAGTCAGGAGTTCTAGACCAGCCTGGACAACATGGCAATACCCCGTCTCTACTAAAGATACAAAAATTAGCCGGGTGTGGTGGTAGGCATTTGTAATCCCAGCTACTTGGGAGGCTGAAGCAGGAGAATCGCTTGAACCCGGGAGGTGCAGGTTGCAGTGGGCTGAGATGGCACCACTGCCCTCCAGCCTGGGCGACAGAGTAAGACCCTGTCTCAAAGAAAAAAAAAAGTTAATCTCATTTAGAAACACCCTCACAGACACACTGAAAATAATATTTGTCAAAATGTCTGAGCACTCTGATGGTACAGTCAAATGGAAACATAAAATTTTCACATCAGAAAGACTCAGTATGCCATTATCTCTTGGGGACCAACCAGCTTTTTGGTGTCCAGTTTATTACACTGTACCCCTTTTACCCTGGAAGGAACAATGACTCATCTTGACTGGAATCAACATACGTTTCAAGTTTATAAATTTCAACCTGAAGGACCTAAGGATCTAAGGCAACATCACTCTTTAAGAGCCTTAGAACACTGGATCCACAGTCTTACAGAGAACCAAAGTAACATTTTTATCAGAAAAAAGATGTACCAGTGAGCATATGGTCACTATTGACTCTATTATGTACTGCAACTATGTTGGAGTAATAGAATAACAGAGGCATAGCTGAAGCACCAGCTTAGAGATGATGCACTGTTAGGATAAAGAGCCATCCTCTAGGATGCTGGATACATCCTGAATTAAAAACTGTTACATAATGCTGTATCCCTAAGAAGTTGAACACATAGGTTCAAGAACTGACAGACATAAGTAGGAACCATCCTACTCATAATGACTTCCAGTGATCTACTTGGATAATTTGTTTTCCTCCCCAAAACTCTAGGCTCTGCAGGTTTATGTGTCTCTGTTCCTAGAGATATATGCTTCCACCAGGGAAAATTACAGAAAGTATCTAGTTTCATGTTAACCAATTACTAACTGCATAGTATATTTGATCTCCTTATGCCAAGAGACCAGGAAGAGAAAAGAATTCACGATTCTTACAGAGGTAATTGATTCTAGTATTCTAAGGAGATATTGTTTCTGATTCACAATGGAGTCAGAAAAAAATATATATGATACCTAAGTGATTCATTCACTTGAATGTCTCTCAGTGTTTCTTTGATCAATTTTGATAAATTGACAGATGTAAAAGCAACAGCATAAAAAAAGGCCTGGTGACTCAGACTCAGAACCTTCAAGGTCTTGGTCTGAACATGCCATCAAGTAAGCCACTTAGATAAACAGAGGTGGCCTCTGAAGATGAAGATTTTGGAGGATTGGTAGAGGAAGGATATGATGATTGTCAGTGAAATCAGCACCGACAGGAAGGGCTGTAGGTCACCTCTCTACCACTCCTCTTAGTTTTCCCAGGAAATGACAATAACCATCTTCCTGAAAAGGCTATTCTCATATGTGGTGGGCTATAATGAATGCTAATTCCTTCTTCTGGACTGGGAAATTCATTCCCCAGCTGCTTGAAGAGCTGACTGCTGACAGCTCACAGTTGAGTCCCTGCCCATGAATTTCCTTGACCAAAGTGACCTGCCTCAACTAAGTTTATGGCCTTATCCCAGGGACTGCCTGCTTCTAATGATTGTTTCATGAGGGAATAAAATATGTGAGCCCCTTAACTTGGAACAACTCTAAAATGTCATCTCAGCTCTACAGCATCCTTTGCAGCATTTGCTAAGTCCTTTTTTTTTTTTTTTTTGAGACGGAGTCTCGCTCTGTCGCCCAGGCTGGAGTGCAGTGGCGGGATCTCGGCTCACTGCAAGCTCCGCCTCCCGGGTTCACGCCATTCTCCTGCCTCAGCCTCCCAAGTAGCTGGGACTACAGGCGCCCGCCACTACGCCCGGCTAATTTTTTGTATTTTTAGTAGAGACGGGGTTTCACCGTTTTAGCCGGGATGGTCTCCATCTCCTGACCTTGTGATCCGACCGCCTCGGCCTCCCAAAGTGCTGGGATTACAGGCGTGAGCCACCGCGCCCGGCCAAGTCCTTTTTTGCAAATGCATCACAGTCCATATTGTCCTTCTGCCCAGTCCTACTTCCTTAACTCCCTTAAAAGTGTTTTTGTTTCATTTTGTTTTCCTGTTTCATCTATCATTGATACGTTCATGGGGCAAAATCTGTAGTGATGTGTTGAGGGGAAATCTTTGGATTTATCAGATGAATTTATTTTTATTTTATTGTATAAATTGCTTTTTCAACATCATAAGTATATATCTATCCAGTTTTCCTGTATTTTAAATTCTCAGTATGGTCAGCATCTTCATTCTTCACGAATTTTAGTAAAATGACTTCTAAAGAGTAGACTAAATTAAATATTTGTTAGTGATGAATTTAAAGAAAATTTCACAAAGAAAAGGAAAATAGCAGAAAGATGTTCCTTGCAGGAACCTTAAAAGGTAGGGTCTCCTTTTAAATTCACTATTTCATTAATATTTTATTTCTTAAAGCATTCAATTAAATTCCACATTATATTATTGTAAAATAATACCAAAAATACAACATCAAGTAATATAGAACAGGAATTAAACTTTCCAAATAGCTCTTGATAGGGAGAAAGACTCTAAGGGACAAATAAACATTTGGAAGAAAAGGTGCCAGGAAATGCTTACACATGGCATGCTGTGTAAAAATAGAATACCTAATTGGTTGTCTCTTTATACATATGTGTGTATTGACTATGGGGTAAAGGGATTTCCTTGAATCTCAGGAGCCAGGGCACAGGTCTCAGGTGCCTAGGGGAACACAGAGCCCAGTGAGAATTATTACTGGCAATACCACCAGTTTCTCAATTTTGCTGAGAGCTACCTTGAATTACTTTCAATGCTTATTTGCTGCTTTGTTTCCCTTAAGTACTACAATTATTATTTTATCCTTAATAAATTACATACATATTTATCTCCTTTAAGGGTTAGGAGGGAGGTCTTAATTCCATAAATGAGAGAAGAAAAATAACAGAAAAAAATAGTGAACAAGACAGAAGCCACTATACAAATATTACTCCTAATTTCTATAATACTTAGAGCATTTTGGGCAGGAAATCTTAGCATACGACCCATATCCTTGTAATTTTGCTTCCATGGCCTAATGAATTATATTGTAGCATCAGATTGTGAGCTTATTAAAACCATGGTCCTTTTAGTACACAAATTGCTCTTCCTGCTTTTTTTCCCCTAAATTGGGCTCAGCTATTTGCTATGTATTATGACTAACCTAAAAATTGTTCATTTAAATATTATTACATATTTAAAATGAAGGTTTTTATTTTACTGCAACTCTATTTTCATGCTTAATTTTTTATAGCCTCCAATTTTCAACTGCTTAATAATCCCACTGTGGTTTTTATATGGTGATAAAAGAACTAAAAAGACAACTTTTGCAACCCACTGCTTACCAGAGTAAGATCAACACAGCTCCCAAGCTTATATCCCTTCACTCACAGGGCCCAAAATATATTTTGAGTTTAATAAGTCATGACACTGAGATGAAAAGGGATTCAATATAAAACAACATGTAAAAATACAATATTGGGTTAAAATGTGGAAAATTTCTCTAAGGTAACAAATCAAATGTACTCACTTTTATAAACCAAATTCAATTTAATAAACGTTAAATTTTAAAGATATATAACCTTTAATGTATCGGCCACCTGTCTAAACTGATATTAATTCAATTAATATAGCAAAGCTTGTTTCATAAATCTTTCTTCAAGATGGAGAATTAAAGAAAACATAAAAATTTTGTTAACCCCTGATATTTATTAATAGAAACTTAAAGATACAATTGTGATAGAATATTTTGAGGGAGAGCTCACATAATCTTAAGTGTGCTAATCGTCAGTTTTGACCTATGTATTGAAAAAGTGCTTGTTGATAGCATTCGTCAGAAAAACCTAGCACTAGTGTCATTGGCCCTAAGGCAGAAACCATCAAAGGCATGGGAAAGGTACATCAGGGAATGGCTAGACTGCCAAGGTTAAACCTTGGCTCTGCTGCTAACTAGTTACAAAAATTTGAGTACATTATTGAACTATGTTTCCACATTTATAAAGTCATAAATGTGGAAACATATTACATAATAAGAATACTCAGCTTATATGGAACTTGTGAGCATTAAAAAAGTCAATAGGTTAATATATGTAAAATATTTATAATGGTGCCTGGAATATTGTATGCTTCCAACAAATGTTAGCTTTATAATTATTGTCTGTATAAATTATTAAAACTCAAAGTGTTAGAAAAGAGAAATGCCTGTAGTGGCTTTGGGAGCCTTTGCCCCAGTTCCACTGATGCTATCATTCCTCAAAACCTATTTGCAGGCCTTCCTTTGAAACCACGTTCAAATCATATAAAACAAAGATCTTCAATTCACATTGAATACTCAACATATACAATATACAAGGTATTTTATTCTTGGTGCTGGCAATGAAAAATGAGTAAGCATAATTTCCCTCCTCAAAATGCTTATAGTCCAGTAGGAGAAACAGAAGTCACAAATAAGCACCATAGCATAGCATCCTCTTGTATTTCAGTACAGAATTTTTGACATTGAGCCATAACTGACATGCATCTTTGATTTCCATCTGATTGACATTTATACAGAGCAGGGATTACCCAGAAACCAGCACCGGGACTGACCCCAAGTAAGAATTCAATAAATGATTGCTGAAGGAATGTAAATCATAAATATACATAAAAAGAGAGGCAATGTTTATGGAAACTGTCAAAGTTTCATAAGAGTGGAAAATGTCTTCATTAGGTCTTTGAATATTAAATAAGAGTTCATGAGGCAGATAAATGTGAAATTACGTTTTGCGTCCAGAAAAGTGTGAACAGTTTGGTATTGGTGTAGTGAAAAACAAACAAACAAACAAAAATCATTTTTTTTTAAGCCATCTCAGGAAGTAGGTCATCTACTGAAGGAAGTTTATCTGTATAGGAAACTACAATGGTGATTCAGGGAAAAGAATATAAAACTTGAGTCAAAACTCAAATAGTTAAGAAGGAGAAGACAGATTCTAAGTAATTTAGGAAATGATTGCAAGATTTGGAGATGAATGGGCATGTATTTCAGTATACAGTAAGGCTCTGAATGAATAGAATGATAACTACTCTTTGTATTTTGATAGCAGATACAATTTTAGAAAGTGCCAGCATTTTTAGAGCAACTGTCCTGTGAATAAGGGTAATTATCAAATTTCATAGAATCATTTTTATTGAGTTTCCATATAATAAAAATATTTTTTCTCTGGCATATCCAATGGCTATGTAAACATTTTTATCAGAAGAGTTTCCACATATTTTAATTAATAGTACCATATGGAAATTTGTATAACAACCATATGGGGTTAATTTTAAAGACAGAATTTATTGAAGAAATTAGTTTTTAATTTGATATTGCCTTATTATTGCATTATCATATTGTATTAGAGTTCTCTAGAGGAACAGAACCAATAGGATATATATATATATATATATATACACACATATATATATATATACACACACACACACACACACACACATATATATATATATATATATATGTAGGTATGTATATTTATGGGAGCTTATTAAGTATTAACTTACACTATCACAAGGTCCCACAATAGGCTGCCTGCAAGCTGAGGAGCAAGGAGAGCCAGTCCGAGTCCTCAAACTGAAGAACTTGTAGTCCCATGTTTGAGGGCAGGAAGCATCCAGCAAGGGAAAAAGATGTAGGCTAGGAGGCTAGGCCAGTCTCACCTTTTCACGTTTTCCTGCCTGCTTATATTCACTGGCAGATGATTAGATTGTGCCCATCAAATTAAGGGTGGATCTGCCTTCCCCAGCCCACTGACACAAATGTTAATCTCTTTTGACAACACCCCAAAGACACACCCAAGATCAATACTTTGTATCCTTCAATGCAATCAAGTTGACACTCTATATTAGCCATTATACATATCTTCTATTTGTTATTGCTCTTTGACTCTAGGAACTCAGGAATGTGCTATAGAAACACTCACTAACAAAGAACTACTCTTTGTCTTGATTAATGTAGTTTCAAAATGCTGATAGAAATTAAGGGAACAATATTTGTCATTTGTATTGTGATGTCCACTTAGTCATTTAGGCTAAGGAACATAAGAATGCTGGGACCTGAGCTAGTTGTCTCTCTATCTAGCTCTTATATTTCAGAAATAATACTATAATATTTGTGAGACAATTAGTTTTCTACCATCATTAGCAGATTCATTTTATTTGTGCATAAGTACTTCATTTGTTTAAGCTTATATATTGTAATCTTTAACCTATGTAAAATAGTGTCTGTAGTATATTTTTGGTGCTAAAATTTTACAAATTTTGTGTAATTGCAATTGTTTGAATCTAATATTACAGAAGGATTCGTGAGCATAGTGGAAATGCTTCAAAAATTAAGAATTTCGGAGACTAAAATTACATTACTGTACACTGACTATACATGTAAGAAGATAAATTCCAGATAGGAATCTAAGCTAAAGACTTAGACTATTGACAATTTTATTCTTCATTTACAAAACCTTTCATTTATTCTTCCTCTATAAATCACTGTTTTCATTAAAAATAAATGCTGATTAATGCATGCACCACAGACAGTTTTTTAAACCTCAGTGCGTGCAAGGTATTTACATGCAGCCTTAACAAAGCTATATAATGATCACCCACAGTGGTAACATTATGTGCAATACAATGATCATAGACACCCAGGTATATTCGGTATGAGCAAAAACTGTTTCTAAACTTTTCATAAAAAATATACTTTTTGATAATTTGAGGAATGTACATCCCTTGCTCTCAGTTACACTTAACTAAACCACATAGCACATCTCAAAATGAGACCATGAATGAATCAGTCTGTTTCATACCCTTCTTATTCAAATTCCAGTGATTTTTTTTTTAACTGTATTTTATGGAGCAGCTGCAGGGCCTGAGCTTCTTTTTGTCTTGAAAAAAAATAAAGACCTCATTTAGCTCTTAGTGGAGCTATGAGCAGCAATGTGTTTGTTAGTCCAATGCATCCGTTCTTTGTGTAGCCGCAAACTCCAGACAGCATTGCGACTCCCTCCTCTGCTAAACTGTGTGAGGAGACAGTAGGTCACTGCTGCAGTCTGCCATCCAACAAAAGAAACAGAGGTGTGAAGAAAATGTTTGTGTACATTTGAGATGCTGTGACTATGGCTAAGTAATCAGCATAAGACTGAAGCTGCTCCATCACAAGAATGATGAGAAATTTTGCCAACAGCTAAATTGGAACTATGTGAATCTTAAAAAGATTGTGTAGAAAGGATGCCGTATTTAGTTACTGGTGCCATATTATATACAGTTTTCTTTATTGTTAGGTGATATTCAAAATTCTCTGTGAAAGCAGGCAATGTCCTGATTTATGTGGTGTGAAACCATGGTCAGTTGTAACCATGGCTACGATGTCATGGAGAAATCTGACAATGGAATCCACTAATTATAACTTTAAACCTTACCCTATCTCTAGCTTAAAAAAATTGTTCTCAGAATTATTGCATTTGATTTATATCTTAGTGAATGACCTGGAAACTCCACAGCTCTTTTACAAAGCTTATCAGAAGAAGGATATACCATTTTCAAAAACTTTTCTAATGTCTAGCTACAAGAAAACCTGCAGAACTTCCTCTTACCTGCATGTTTTTACAAGCAGTGCAACCCTCTTTCTAGTTGAAATTTACTTCATCCATTAATCACGTGTAATTGTTTCCACATTACAAAGTGTTTAGTACACTCTCTGTGGTGTGATTAATTAGATTTTATGTTAAAAATGATGTAGTCATGCTCAGAAGCAGTAAAAGACATGCAGTGCATTTGGGAAACAATGCCCAGAGTTACAGGTGGTAATTACCTTAACATACACAAGTGATTTCTTCCACTTCAGAATCATAATTCATAACTACCTTTATGACAAAATTTTAGGATATTTGAAATAAAAGATTAATTTGTACTAATTCCTATACTTTTCAAATGCATATAGATATTTTTACATACGTAGTACTTGAAATAGTAGTAATATATTTAACATTTTTAAATGATAGAAAATTCACATTATGTTTTCACATCATGACTTTTGCTTAGTTTGTTAGCAACTTCAATATCTCTAAAAGTAAGGCTAATATTACATCTGTATTGTGAAGGGGACATGAGACAAGGCATGTTTGAAATACTTTAATGTACAAAATTATATGTTTGTAGTACAGCAACAGACAGTGGTTCAGGTAGTTGACCACAGAACATTATTAAAGCTACAAAAATGTAGCAACAAAATCAGATACAAAAGAGAGTTAAATAAAAGTCACATTTTAAAAATATACGCTACAAAAATATCTCTAAAACAATACTCAAAATGTTATGTCAGAAATTATAAACTATAAGTCACACATTTTCATTTTCTGGCCTAGAGTTTTGAATGAATTGTTATAGATGTAAGGCAAAAATTATTGTAATTTATTATATATCACATTTAAAACTTCTACATTCTTTTCTAATAGTTACTTAATAGATATTAATCTAAAAGTGTGCCTCATAGATTTTTGCGGGGAGAGTTATACATGATACACTTTATTTATGGCAGTGGAAGTAATTGAATGCCTGTAGGTAAACATCAACAAAAGAGAGTGGTAGTCTCAAAAGAAGCTGCTATGAACTGAACCGTGTTCCCCTAAAAATCATATGTTAAAGCTCCAACCCACAAAGAGACTGTATTTGGAGATAGAACTTTTATGAGGTAATTAAGCTTAAATAAGGTCATAAGGTTGGGGTTCTAATCCTTGTAGGATTGGTGGCCTTACAAGAAGAGGAAGGATCACTCTCTCTCTTTACACTTATGTACCTAGGAGAGGCCATGTGAGCACAGAGGGAGAAAGTGGCCACAAGCCAGGAAGAGAGCCATAACCAGAACCCCACAGTGCTGACACGCTGACCTCAGACTTCCAGACTCCTTCAGACTCTCGGAGAATAAATTTCTGTTGTTTAAGTTACTCAATCAGTGATCAACAATACTTTATTACGGCAGCCGAAGCTGACTATTACAGAAGCAGGGTATTTAAATTATTCACTTATGTCTGAATAATTTTATGTCATGGAAACTGTAAAGTCCTAAACATTGTGTACTTAAGAGTGCTAGTTTTATTATTGAGCATAGAACAGAAATGTACAGCATGGATTCCTACGTCACTTTGTAACAAGAGATTTTCATAAGATTATCAATATCAGAGTCTAGGAATGTAAAAAGATATTTTTACACCATTCTCTCTTTCTCTCCTTTCACATATCTAAAAAATGAAAATGGCATATATTTTATATTAAATATTCTCAGTTATATAACACCTTTTATTGAAGAGGACACAGTGAATATATATTTTTCAAAATCAATGCTAATAGTTTATTTTCCATATTCATTCTAAAATATACACAAAGATCGTAATAGATAAAAAGAAATAAGTAGTAGTTTAGAAAGTGAAAGTTATTAACAGTGATATTTTTAAGATAGAATCTTACCATTCATTTCCATAAAGAAAACCTGGTATGTGTTCTTAAAAAATTTTTTTTTTCAATAGCTTTAGAGGTACAAGTGGTTTTGGGTTACATGGATGAATTGTATCATGGAGAAGTCTGGCAATTTAGTGCACTCATCAGCCAAGTAGTATGTATTGCACCCAATAGGTAGTTTTTTTTTTTTTTTCACTGCCGCTCCCCCACCCCCGTCGCCACTGAGTCTCCAATGTCCATTATATTACTCTGTATGCTTTGCATGCTCATAGCTTAGCTCCCACTTATAAGAGAACATATGGTTACTAAGTAACATTCCTGAGTTACTTAGAATAATGTCTTCCAGTTACCTCTAATTTCCTGCAAAAGATATTATTTCATTCTTTTTTATGGCTGAGTAGTATTCTGTGGTGTGTATATCAAATGAGTGGATAAAGAAAGTGTGATATATGTATATATATCACCACTCATTGGTTGATGGGCACTTAGGTTAATTCCATATATTTGCAATTGTGAATTGTGTCGTGATAAACATATGTGCAAGTATCTTTTTGATACAGTGACCTCTTTTCCTTTGGGTACAACCCCGATAGTGGGATTGCTGGAAGAATGGTAGATCTACTTTTAGATCTTTGAGAAGTCTTCACACTTTTTCCATAGAGGTTGTACTAATTCACATTTCCTACCAACAATGTATAAGCATTCTTTTTTCATCACATCCACATTACCATCTATTTTTTTTGACTTTTTAATAATGGCCATTCTGGCTGGGGTAAAGTGTTATTTCGTTGAAGTTTTAGATTGTAATTCCCTAATGATTAGTGATGTTGAACGTTTTAAAATATGTTTGTTGGTCATTTGTATGTCTTCTTTTGAGAACTGTCTATTTATGTACTTTGATTTTTTTTTTCTTGCTGATTTGCTTGAGTTTCTTGTAGATTCTGGATATTAGTCCTTTGTTGGATGGATAATTTGCAAATATTTTCTCTCACTCTGTATGTTGTCCATTTATTCTGATGACCATTCTTTTGCTGTGCAGAAGCTTTTTACCTTAATTAGATCCCATGTATTTAGTTTTGCTTATTTTGCATTTACTTTTTTATTTTTATTTTTTTGCCTAGGCCAATGTCCAGAAAAGATTTTCCTAGGTTTTCTTGTAGGATTTTTATGGTTTCATGTCTTAGATTTAAGTCTTTAATTAATATTGCGTTAAGTTTCATACACAGTGAGAGGGATTCAGTTTCATTCTTCCACATGTGGCTATCCAATTTTCACAGCACCATTTATTGCATAGGGTGTCCTTTTCCCAGTTTATGTGTCTATGTGCTTTGTTAAAGATCAGTTGGTCATAAACATTTGGCTTTATTTCTGGGTTATCTGTTCTGTTCCATTAGTCTATGTATCTACTTTTATACCACTACCATGTTGTTTTGGTTACTATAGCCTTGTTGTATAATTTGAAGTTGGGTAATGTGATGCCTCCATACTTGTTTTTGCTTAGGATTTCTTTGGCTATTCAGTGGCTATTATCCTTTCTTGGTTCCATATGAATTTTAGGATTGTTTTGCTAATTCTGTGAAAAATGATGTTTGTATTTTGATTGAAATTGCACTGTATCTATAGATTGCTTTGAGCAGTCTGGATATTCTTATGATATTGGTTCTTCCATTCCATGAGTATGGGATGTATTTCCCTTTGTTTGTGTCATCTATGATTTATTTCAGCGTGTTTTGTAGTTCTCCTTGTAGAGATCCTTCATCTCCTTGATTAAGTACACTCCTAGATATTTTAATTTATTTTGGGGAGCTACTATAAAATTTATTAAGTTCTCAATTTGGTTCTCAGTTTGGTCATTGTTAGTGTATAGCAGTGCTACTGATTTGTGTACATTGATTTTGTACCTTGAGACTTTCCTGAGTTCAATTATCAGATCAAGGAGTCTTTTGGAGGAGTCTTTAGAATTTTCTCTGTATCAGATTATGTAATAGGCAAATGGATAGTTTGACTTCCTCTAGTCCAATCTGGATGCCCTTTCTTTTGACTTATTGCCCTGGCTAGGACTTTCAGAATCATTTTAGAGAAGTGGTGAAAGTGGGCATCCTTGACTTGCTACAGTTCTTAGGGGGAACACTTTCAACTTTTTCCTGTTCAGCATGATGTTGGCTGTGGATTTGTCATACACGGTTTTTATTACTTTGAGGTAAGTTCTTTCTATGTCTAGCTTGTTGAGGGTTTTTAATCATAAATAAGGCTGGATTTTATTAAATGTTTTCTCTGCATTATTGAGATGATCATAAGGTTTTTTATTTTTAATTGTGTTAATGTGATGAATCACATTTATTGTCTTGCATATATTGAATCATCTCTGTATTCCTGGCAAGAAACCCACTTCATCATGGTGAATTTTTTTTATCTGCTGTTATATTTGATTTGCTAGTATTTTGTTGAGTATTTTCACATCTATATTTATTAGGGATAATGGTCTGTAGTTTTTTATTGTTACATCCTTTATTGGATTTGATGTCAGGGTGATACTGGCTTCGCAGGATGACTTAGGAAGGATTCCCTCTTTCTCAACCTTTCAGAATAGTTTCAATAGAATTAGGACCAATTCTTTGAATGTTCAGTAGAATTTGGCTGTGAATCCATCTGGCTCTGGGCTTTGTTGTTGTTGTTGGCAGTTTTTAAAAAATTACTGATTCAATCTCTCTACTTGTTTCTGGTCTTTTCAGGATTTCTATTTCTTCCTTATTCAAGCTAGCGGGGTTGTATATTTTCAAAAATTTATGCATTTCCTCTAGAATTTCTAATTTGTGTGCATAGATATGTTCATAGTAATCTTAAATGGTATTTTTTATTTCTGTGCTGTAAGTTGTAACATCTCCATTTTTATTTCTAACTGAGTTTATGTAAATTTTCTTTTCTTGGTTAATTTAGCCAGTGATCTATCAACTTTGTTTATCTTTTGAAAGAACCAACACTTTGTTTCATTGATCTTTCAGTTTTTGTTTTGGTTTCAATTTTATTTAGTTCTCTTCTAATTTTTGCCATTTCTTTTATTCTGCAAGATTTGGGTTTTGTTTGTTCTGGTTTCTCTAGTTTCTTGAGGTGTGATATTAGGTTGTCAATTTGTGATCTTTCACTTTTTTTTTTTTTTTTATTTGGAGATGGAGTCTCTCTCAGTTGCCCAGGCTGGAGTGCAGTGGCGCGATTTCGGCTTACTGCAAGCTCCACCTCCCGGGTTGAAGCCATTCTCCTGCCTCCCCCCGCCCCCACCTGCCCCTTAGCTGGGACGGCAGGCGCCCACCACCACGCCCGGCTAATTTTTTGTATTTTTAGTAGAGAGGGGTTTCACCATGTTAGCCAGGATGGTCTCGATTTCCTGACCTTGTGATCCGCCTGTCTCGGCCTCCCAAAGGGCTGGGATTACAGACGTGAGCCACAGCGCCCGGCCACTTTCAGACTTTTTGATGTAGGCATTTAACACTATACACTATCCTCTCGGCATTGCTTTGTCTTTATCCCAGAGATTTTGGTAACTTGTGTCACTGTTATCATTCATTTTGAAAAATGTTTTGATTTCCATATTGATTTCATCGTTAACACAAAAGTCATTCAGAAGTTGATTGTTTAATTTCCATGGATTTGTATAGTTTCGAGGGTTCCTTTTGGAATTGGTTTCTAGTTTTATTCTGCTGTTTGAGAAGATATGTGATATAATTTCAATTTTTAGAAATATATTGGGACATATTTTGTGGGCTCTCATATGGTCTATCTTAGATACTGTTTTATCTGCTGGTGAGAAGAATGTATCTTCTACAGTTCTTAGGTAGAATGTTCTGTAAATATTAGGTCTATTTCTTCTAGAGTGCAATTTAAATTCAGTATTTCCTTGTTGACTTTCTGCCTCAATGATCCGTCTAGTTTGTCAGTGGAGTGTTAAATTACCTCACTATTACTGTGTTGCTATCTGTATTCTTAGGTTTAGTAGTAAGTGCTTTATGAATCTGAGAGCTCCAGAGTTGGGTGGATATATATATAGGATTGTTATATTTTCTTGTTCACTTCATCCTTTTATCATTATATGACTTTGTCTTTTTAAAAAACTGTTGTTTCTTGAAAGTCTGTTTTATCTAATGTAAGAATAGTTACTACTTTCTATTTGTATGAAATATCTTTTTCTACCCCTTAATCTTGAGTCTATAAGAATACTTACATTAGGTGTATCTCCTGAAGAAAGAAGATATCTAGTTTGTGATATTTTTATCCATTTATCCATCTGTATCTTTTAAGTGGATCATAGAGACCATTCATATTCAATGCTAATATTGAGATGTGAGGTACTCTTCCAGTCATTGTCTTGTTACTAGTGAGTTTGTTTTCTGCATTGTGTTATTGTTTTATAAGCACTGTGAATTTTTGTGCTTTCAGGCATTTCTATTCTGGTGTGTATTGACCTTTAGTTTCAAGATTTAGAGTTCCTTTTAACATTTATTATAAGGCTGGTCTAGTATTGACAAATTTCCTCAGCATTTGCATGTCTGAGAAATACTTTATTTCTCTTTCACTTATGTTTTGTTGTATAGAAAATTCTTGACTGACAGTTATTCTGTTTAAGGAGACTGAAGATAGGACTTCAATCCCTTTGGTCTGTAAGGATTCTGCTGAGGAGTTTGCTGTTAGTCTGATAGGTTTTCTTTATAGGTTACCCGATGTCTTTTTATCACTGCTCTTTAAATTCTCTCCTTCATGTTGACCTTAGATAGCCTGATAACTATATATGCATTGATGACGTCCTTTTTACTATGCATCTCCAAAGAGTTCTTTAGCTTCTCATATTTGGATGTTTTAATCTCTAGCAAGGCCAGAGAAATTTCTCTCAATTATTCTCTCAAATGGGTTTTCCAAACTTTTTGCTTTTTCTTTTGGCATGTTTTCTTTTCCTTGAAGAAAATCTATAATTCTTAGGTTAACCATTTTACATATTCCATATTTCTTGGAGACTTCATTCATTTCTTTTAAGCCTTTCTTCTTTTTGTCTTATTGGGTTAGTTTGAAAGCCTTTTCTTCAAGCTCTAAAATCTTTCTTCTACTTGGTCTAGCTTATTGTTAAAATCTTCTACCGCATTTTGTAGTTTCCTAAATGCATTTCTCATATCCACAAGTTTGGTTTGGTTTCTCATTAAATTATCTATCAGAAGATTTTTAATTCATATCCTGAGTTTTTAAGAAATATTATATATGTTGGTTTTCACCTTTCTCTTGTACGTCTTTGACATAACTAGGACATACAAGAGAAAGGTTGGTTGTGAAATCAACCTTTTGAATTATTTGATATTTAAAGATTTCATCTTGGATGTGATCCACTGCTGGAGAGTTATTGTAATATTTTGGGGGTGTTATAGATCTGTGTTTTTTTGTATTGCCAGAATTATTTTTCTGGTTCTTTCTCATCTGAGTGGACTATTTGCTATGGTTTGGCTGTGTCCCCACCCAAATTTCATCACAAATTGTAGTTTCCATAATCCCCACATGTTGTGAGAGGGACCTGGTGGGAGGTAATTGAATCATGGGGGTGGTTACCCCCATACAGCTTTTCTCGTGTTAGTGAAGAGTTTTCAGGATATCTGATAATTTTATAAGGGGTTTCTCCCTTTTTGTTTGACATTTCTCCTTCCTGTCATTAAGTGAAGAAGGATGTGTTTGCTTCCCCTTCCACCATGATTGTAAGTTTCCTGAGGCCTCCCCAGCCATGCTAAACTGTAAGTCTATTAAAACTTTTTCTTTTATAAATTATCCAGTCTTGGGTATGTCTTTATTAGCAGCGTGAGAAGAAACAAATACACTCTCTCTTATAATTATTTATTCATTCGTTCATTCATTCATTAGTCCTTTAGTTCTTTAGTGGTGATTTCTGAGATTTTGGTGCACCCATCATATTTTTTATTCAATTGGGTTTTTATTTTTTCCCATGAGGTTGTGACTTTATAGTTTATTATCATCTAGTTTCGCCTCTAGTTTCTTTCAGTGGTAATGACTCTATATGAGTTCCTTGGTTACAGAGAATTTTTGTATAATGACTTTCTCAGATGCTGGTTGTAGTAGTGATGTGCTGGGTATGTTAGCAGGTTCACTGTCTTCTCTGGGGAATTTTTCCTCTGGTTCCCTCTGTAGGCTGCTGTTAACTGCTTCTTTCAAAGGGTCTGTGGTTTCTTTCCTATTTTCCTGTTACATTCCTGTATAATTTCTTGGAAAAACATTCACAATGTGGATCTCTACACAAGATTTCATCTTTCCAAGTAGGAGAGACATGCTAACAATGCCTCCAATCTGCCCTCTTCGAAAAAAAGCTTGGTTTGTGTTTCTGATGATATTTTTGAATAATACTTTTAATAAATATTATTGTGGATGATGCACAGGATCCCCTTAGAGAATAAAGGAACTCATTCCTAAAGCTTTTTAGAATGTGCATACTGACAGCATACACATAATCTTTTGCTGGGAATTGCCCTTGGCCAAAATGAACTGCCTCACCTGGGGTCTCACACTTTCTCAAGGAACAGGTCATATAATATGACTGGTTGATGATGAGTACAAAGGCTTGCTCCCCTACTTTAACTGAGGACATCTCTGAAGGGCTGTTTTAGCTCCAGAGTCCCCAGTGTTGGAACTATCCATATACTCAATTATTCTTCCTTCATTTCTTTACACATGCGGTTCCCCAGAGGACACCCTAATAAATCTCTAAGTGTCAATTTCCAAATTTCTTATTAAAAAACACTTTTATATAAAAAGACACTTGGGCTAACATATGATACTTACTAATAACTTGTGAATAGGGTCACCTGGGAATAATGATGTTTGCAATTACTTAAGAATAACCTAATATCATGTTTAAACATGTGTGGGTAATGCTGCAATGCAGTATCTAGCTCCCTTTACAGGATTGAAGGAACTCTTTTTCAAGCTGCTGGGAATGGAGTCATAGTTTTTAGCCCCCTTTTTATATAAAGAAAACTGCCTCACCCAAGGCCATGCCACATTCTGTGGGCAGTGTGCATTCCATGACAAATTAAGGTGAAATTAAAAGATTTAGCTTTTTGGGCCATCTCAGATCAACTCTGAAAGGTCATCCCAGCTCCAGAGCTACTGGTGGGTTTGGCTGAGGGGTGAGAGTGCTCCCTTAGGCTAAGGCTAATTCTCAGAAAGGAATGGTGCTTTATATTTTTAGCATCCAACACTCTCTGCTCAATCTTCCTTTTCTTCTCTTCAACACGTGTTGGGTATTAATCTCAAGACCACTCTCTAATAAATATTTTTATGCTAACATTTTCCCAGAGTTTTCTTTCCAGGGAATCTAATTGGTGATATAAGATATTATGTATTTATATAATTAATATACGTATATACATATACACACATATAAATGTCTGTGTGTGTATACACATTTTATCAGAGACTTCAAATTCCATTACACATTTAAAAGCTTGTTTCCAAAGTCATCTTTTTTTTTCTTTTTTTCACATCATCAGCTTTATGTTTTACAGAATTCAGATGGTACTTTGTATTTTTTTATTAGAGTTGACCTGTAATCAACATTTTTTCTGTTTTTCACTCTATAATTAACTTGGTTTTCAGATAAACCCAATACATTCCTGCAGTAAGCTCTCCTGTGGAATCAATTACAATTCTGTACTCAGTCTTATTATCTTAACAATGGGTGATTAAATAGCCCTTTCTCCCACAACAATTACGGTCTCTCAGTATCAACAATGTGGGTTTGGTGAAATCTCATTATCATCCTATTGGATCACTTGGTAAGTAAACATTGCCAATTTTTATAATGGTAATGAACATGCAAGCAAAGAACATATATTCAGTTCATAAAGCTTTTAGCACTTGTTAGCTTCATAGTAGTAACAGAAGAAAAATACGTTAACTGGTGTGTTTGGCTTTTCTCATGATTTCTGTAACTGCACTACCATAGTACTAGTAGCTTTATATGTTTGATGACTTTCATAACTTATTTGTCAACTACCTAACGAGCAAATTTTGGGAAATGTTGTAGAGAATACATACAAATAATATAACTCATATATCAGTTGGCAGGTACAGTTCAATATTAAACAGATATATAAGCCTATAATGGATAAGGGTAAGATACATCCTGGCTTAAAATGCAGTTATGAGAGCTATCAGATTATAGCTGGGGTGCTTGGGATAGTTGGAATAGAGATTCTGATAAATAGAATTTAGATGTATAGACAGTCAACATACAATATGATGCTCTTGGTTCAGCTCCCACTGAATTTGGTCAAGTCGATGCAGTTAAATATTCAAGTGGAGCGCATAGAAAGGCTCCCTTGAGATGGACAGATTTCTAACTTCAGCACCAATTAGGGAAATTAAAGTGGGCCTTGGTGGAAGGAATACAGAAAATACAGCAAATCCATAACTAGCTAGTTTGTTTGTTTGTATAATTTATAATTAGAAGTGTGTAATTGGAAATACAGAAGTCAATAAACCACAAAGTGAAGAAATAGTGGAAGAATATTGCCACTCTCACATAATGGAGCAAAGAAGAGTTAAAACTACCTAAATGGTCAAAATAATGCCTCTAAATTTACAACTGTTCTCGTTAAGGGAATGCTATTCTCATGAAGAGAAAAATTAATATTGTTACTTTTGTAATTGGTAATAATGCATATAATATTATCTTCTAGAATTGTGTTGTGAAGGGAAACATGTAAGAAAAGAATTATAAAAAGGAAGACAGAAAGGGAAAAATATAGGACTATTTTTTGGGGAGATAAACATTTGGGTAAATGTGTAAAAATGGGTGAATGTTAATTGGGCTATATTAACAATGGGGGAGTTAAATGTGGAAATTCATTTTATGGGATAAGAGGAGGATATCATTTTAGAATTAAATAAATTAAGGTAATATGCTCAAAATAAAGGATATCACATTTACAATATTATAACCAAATAATTTAGGAGGATATAAGAATACAATAAGAGATTAGTCATATAGAATTGTCCAGGCAAAGTCCTGGACAATGGTCTCCCCACTTTATAATGATCATATTATAATGAGAAACATCACATGCAAATTAGGTAACCAGAAACTAGATGCTAATCCATAGCTGGTCCAGTTAGCTGTACTCTGAAGGAAGGAGTGAAAAAGAATCTCACATTGTAAGACAGTTAAAGTGTAAATTAAAAAGGAGAGAACTTGTGTACTGCATAAGAGGATTAAATTTAGTTTGCAAATTTGAGAGTGCTTTTGGGTACTATAAAATTTGAGTTTCTCCCACTGAATTTGGTCAAGTCTATGCAGTTAAATATTCAAAAAGTCTCGTGTGCTTTGCTTCTTAACATGATATCAGGAAGGAAGTTACAGAGACCGAGGATTGAGAAAATGTAGATGCTTCATCTCCTGATGACTTACATGAGTTAACTTAGGCCCAGGAACTGCGACAATCAGTGCTGAGACTCTCTCACTGTCTTTGCCATGCAACCAGGAGAGCCACAGTGGAAATACAACAATGAGCAAACAAAGACATTAAACTAACTCTCTCCCTGGGCAGATACAGATTGCTAGGCATAATTCTCTTACAAAAACTGCCTTCAAGAATTTTGTTCAGGCAAACTGATTTTTTTTTTTCCCAGAATTCTGAACTTTTATGCTGTTGCATTTTTTTCTTTTTTAAAATATTTTGAAAAACTGCATTGTTTTATTTTTAATTATAGGAAGTTGTATAATAATTTGTCAATAATTGCCTTTTTAAACTTCCCATGTTATTTTCTTTCTTGTACAACATACTGAATCACATATTACAGTCAAGTTTCTAAATATTTTATTTTTACAAGTGGGGTATAAGATCCCTGAAGGAAGGAACTAGCATAATATCCAGCACATTGTATTTCAAATTATATGTATAAAATAAATGTGCATTCTGGGAATACATTTGAAACATCACCAGTAAGATAATAAAGAATAAGATGTGGGCCGGGCGCGATGGCTCACTCCTGTAATCCCAGCACTTTGGGAGGCCGAGGCGGGCGGATCACGAGGTCAGGAGATCGAGACCATCTTGGCTAACACGGTGAAACTCCGTCTCTACTAAAAATACAAAAAATTAGCCGGGCGCGGTGGCGGACGCCTGTAATCCCAGCTACTCTTGAGGGTGAGGCAGGAGAATGGCGTGAACCCGGGAGGCGGAGCTTGTAGTGAGCCGAGATAGCGCCACTGCAGTCCGGCCTGGGGGAAGGAGCAAGACTCCGTCTCTCTAAAAAAAAAAAAAAAAAAAAGATGTGGCTACTATAGCCTGTGAGAAACAAACCCTTTAACTCTTTGACAATTCATGACATTTATAGGCCAACTCCTGAGGGCCGTATTGGTCAGAATGTCAAGTTGAATATGCTATTAATATACTTCACTGGATAAGTTTGAATGTTATTATTTTTATCATCAGTGTGACAGGCCCATAACTTAAAAACTGCACACCCAGTTGAGTTATTACATAATTTCTCTTAGGGGAAAAAATCCACAAACAATTGGTTTATGATGAGATATTTTTTGGTTAAAAATGAGAAACGACAAGTCTAGCCCCATAATAAAAATGGAACATTAGAAAATTATTTCAAAGATTGTTCAAATAGAATTGGTTATGAAGCATTCAAAAATGTTATCACGTCCACTGAGAAAGGCAGTGAATGATTGTATGAGGCTTCACTCTTAAAATAGACTGCAATTTATTTAACACTGTAGTTTATTATTTCAAATATCATGACGTATATGTTCAGTTGCTTCTGGTGTGATTAATGCAGGTAAATGCTAAAAAGATGTTGAATAATGACTTAAAAATAAACTACTAATCTCTATGAAATTTGGTTCATGACAGTGATTCAATGTGTCCTATTCTGCACAACAGAATCAGCATTAGCATATTTGTCTTATGAACTTATACATAAAGAAGACTCCAGCATGTTTTCAAATGAGATAAAATGCATGATATGTATAAAGTAATTTTAAAACACTAGATATAAATGATTTCAAAATTAAAAATACATCTTTTTTAAAAAAAGTTTTAAATTTTAAAAGTTTTGGTGTGATTTCATAATTAGTATGATTTTTATCTATGCATTTTTTTTCTAAGTAAAAATGATGGTATATAATTACCATTTGAATTTTGTTTCTTCTCTTAACATATACTTACTCTTTTCTCACTTATGACTTTTAGTAAATAGCATTTAATTTGCAATCCTAAAATAGAGATTACTTAACCATTTCACTATAGTGGAAGTCAGAGTGGTTTCAATTTTTGTGTGTTTCTACAACTACTTTAAATTGTATCAGGATAAATTCTCATTACATAACTTTCCCTATACTTAGAAAATTATATATTCCCCATGATAAATTCATAATTAATTCCTTTTTGTCAAAAATATTAAATTTTTAAGTTTCTTGATGCATTTATATTTATGACTGTATTTGTAATTATCTTTTGAAATCTCTAAAATTATCTCAAATCCCATATTATTCAAGTCTTCCAGGGCCAATCCTGGAATTCTTGAATACTTCACACTAGAATACTTCATGAATCAGCCAGAGCAGTGACTTTTATTTCCTCCTGAAACTGTTTATTCTAAGAACAGGGATTGCTGCTTATGATTTTATTTCATGCACTTATGAGACTGGCACAAAATAGGCACTCAATACATATTTGCAAAATGAAGGAACGAATGCCATGTGATATCATTGTTGAACTCCCATGAAAGCCCATTGATGTGGTAATACCCTTGCTGGTCCAGCATCTTGCTAGTGATGTAATGATGCCTTGTTTTAGCTTCCAGGCTCCTACCTATTTTAGATGATCCTTCACTTCTTAGACCATGGTTGCCCAAAGTATGGCATTGTGGCCTAAAGAATGGTTCCTATCAGGCTTCCAGCCTCCCTTATGCATAGTACTACAATCAGCCCACCCTTACCAACCCTTAGGAACTTTGATTTAAACTTGGACAAAGTTCAGACTTTCCATTCCCTCCGGAGGCTTTCCACTCCCTCCGGAGGCTTTCCACTTAGGGAGCTTAAGGAACTTTTTTGCCAAGGGATTGAGAGCCTGCTGGTCTTCCTATGAACTATTTTCCTAAACTTTAACTTTCAGAAAGCAAAATGCACTATCACTGTCCTCACTCTTGTAGTTTCAGGACTTTAAATGCAAATTGAACTTCTCTCCCAGTTCTATATGCCACAGGTGAAGAGATATTTTACTAAAACCTGGAAACATACCTGTAAATAATTATTAGACCCTTATCTTTGGAAGTGGGTAATGTATTTCCCTAACTACAAGAATCCCTCAAATGACTTATTAGTTTCAAACAACAGGCAATTTTTTAACCTCATAATTTTGTGGGTCAGGAATTTGGGTAGGGATAACCCTAGTGATTCTCCTACTTTACCTGATAATTACTGCAGTCGCTTGGTGGCATTTAGATGTTGGCTAGCCTGGTCTGGAGGGTCCAAGATTTAATCACATATGTAGTACTTTGGCAAGAACAATTGGAAGATTGGCCTCAGCTGGGCCTGGTCCCTCTCTACAGAGACTCAGAGTCTCCTCCCATGGTCTTTCTAGCAGGTAGACTCAATATTCCTAGAAGTGAGTTATTTTTAGTTCAGGGCTTTCATAGTAGTAGTCTAAGAGACAGCATGCAGGAGCTGTGTTGGAAACTTCTTTCAGTAATTCAAATACCTGAAATTTCCTAAGACTAGGGATAATTCAGTTTGCTCTTTCTTTTTGGAATGTTTCCCGTTGCCCCTTTCACTTATAAATATCCTTAAGGGCTCACCTTAGACATGTCACTTGTTCACTCAAATCTTTCCTGTCAAGTTTTCTTTAAATGTTTCCTGTACTTCTGCTAAGAAGTACCTGTCAAATTTTAACTTGGATATCTCCTTGTGTAACATTTACTCTCCTATCCCTGAAAGATTTTAACATCTGTGAATACATGGATGTGTGTGTATT
Source organism: Homo sapiens (assembly GCF_000001405.40). NCBI lineage: Eukaryota > Metazoa > Chordata > Mammalia > Primates > Hominidae > Homo > Homo sapiens. The sequence continues at coordinate 93,863,698 of NC_000006.12, forward strand.
TTTCAACACTACGTACATGATAAGTCTAGACCAGCATCTGACCCATCTGTGCACCCAGTAAGTGATTGTTAGAAGTGTAAATAAATGAACTAGAGCACTAATTACAATATTTAAAATATGTTTATTATAAAACTTTTCCCGTTTTTACTTACTATTACATAGTCCAATAAATAAAACATTTTAATTTCAGTATATGCCTTTGATTTTAAGCTTGAATGTCCTCACTCATTGAGATATTTTATAAATATTTCTGTTTCCATCTGATTTTGATTTTGAAATTTATAGGAAATCAATAGACTTGTATTAAATTATTTTAAGAAATTAACTCCATTTCTTTTCTAGTCTGTGACGCTACCGGTTCTTGAATTACTATCTATGCTAGAGTCTCACTCATTGATACCTTTTATTAGAACCGTGTTTACATTGTGGGGAGTTTGGCATTTGTTCAAAACTATTTTTTTTTAATTACTCAGTTACACTCTGAAATTCTCTCCCTAAATGTAAGATCCTTTATTTTAGTGGACGTTTGCCACCTTACTCCTCCACTCCCCCAGACTCTGATATAACATGGTTTTCAATGTTGTCATGAGTTTTCAGCTTCTTTTGCATGTCTGTGCTGTCCTATAAAATAAAAATTTAGCAGAGACTAATGGATGCTTCCATTTGAACTTGGGGATTTAACAAATTATTATTTATAGTAATAAACGCAAAGCTACTCTGAACTTAGTTGAGCTTCTTGCTCAAGCTTTCCTTTAAAGTTTGGGTTCAACCAAAGTATTATTTTCTTCACTATTTTTATGTGTTCCTCTTATTGGAACTGTATTCCCTCTATTCCTAGCTGTACTGTTATTATAAGATATAACATCATTTTCATTCCTTAGCTTTCCCCAGCCAGGATCAGAATAGTTTAGCATAGTTGATAACCCTTCAACCCTCTCCTCTGGAGAAAATGCTAGTCTGCGTCTTTAATTACATGTAGTTGCTAGGTGATTAAATTATGGTGTAAAAATATTAGAAAGTAATTTCTTTCCACAAACTATTAAACATGTAACTTTCAGCCTACTATATGTCATGGTCAATGCTAGGCATTCTTTTTTTGTCACTTAAAATTGTAGCATTTTTATGGACAGATATAAAACAAAATTCAGGATTGGATAAGTTAAATAATATTTTAAAGACCAATAAATTCCCAGGCCAGAATTTGAGTGCAAATCTGTCTGATTCCAAATTTTAATTTCACTCACTTAGTCATATACAAGTCACCTACAGTATATATATTGTGTCCACAAAATGATAAATTAAATTGCTGAACTTATAAGGTAAATTGAGAACACTTTTTGTATGTTATGTAAAGTTTTGCCAGAATTAGAAAATATTGTGAAAATAATACATAATAATGGTTCGCATACCAGTAAATATGAAACTAACATTACTGTCATGTTACTCCACATAAATGGGCTTTAAATAAAGATATACACATTAATATAAGAATACTATGTGACAAATAAAGGCTATGTCTGCTCAGTGATCAAATTGGTAATGTATATCCTATACTGTTATAGTATCTCACATGCAGTGCATAATTAACAAATATGTTGGGTAAAATTCTCATCTGGTTTGATCAATAATAACTGTTAAAAATGTATGTATGGAGACCTAACAGATCAGAAGGGAAGGAATATATCATCCAATAAATCACATTGAAATGACTGCTTTGCAATTTGTCAAGAAAAATCAATAAGCCTTTTACTTTATACCTTATATCAAACACTTTTCAGTATGCTGAATGTTTGCTTATTTATAAAAACAGAAGAAAACAAAAATGAATATTTATTAAATCTGTGTGGGAGTGGTAAAAAAACGAATATTATAAATTCAGATATAATGAGGGGAAACACAAATAAAAATATATTTAAGTACAATGCAATAGAAAATGTCCATGTTTTTAATATACAATGAAATTAATATATTTGGAAATTATTTGTTGCAATTGTAAGTGGATAATTAACAACAATCATACAAATTTGTAACATCAAAGTTCTTTTTTTTTTTTTTTTTTTTTTTTTTAATTATACTCTAAGTTTTAGGGTACATGTGCACATTGTGCAGGTTAGTTACATATGTATACATGTGCCATGCTGGTGCGCTGCACCCACTAATGTGTCATCTAGCATTAGGTATATCTCCCAATGCTATCCCTCCCCGCTCCCCCGACCCCACCACAGTCCCCAGAGTGTGATATTCCCCTTCCTGTGTCCATGTGATCTCATTGTTCAATTCCCACCTATGAGTGAGAATATGCGGTGTTTGGTTTTTTGTTCTTGCGATAGTTTACTGAGAATGATGGTTTCCAATTTCATCCATGTCCCTACAAAGGATATGAACTCATCATTTTTTATGGCTGCATAGTATTCCATGGTGTATATGTGCCACATTTTCTTAATCCAGTCTATCATTGTTGGACATTTGGGTTGGTTCCAAGTCTTTGCTATTGTGAATAGTGCCGCAATAAACATACGTGTGCATGTGTCTTTATAGCAGCATGATTTATAGTCCTTTGGGTATATACCCAGTAATGGGATGGCTGGGTCAAATGGTATTTCTAGTTCTAGATCCCTGAGGAATTGCCACACTGACTTCCACAATGGTTGAACTAGTTTACAGTCCCACCAACAGTGTAAAAGTGTTCCTATTTCTCCACATCCTCTCCAGCACCTGTTGTTTCCTGACTTTTTAATGATTGCCATTCTAACTGGTGTGAGATGATATCTCATAGTGGTTTTGATTTGCATTTCTCTGATGGCCAGTGATGATGAGCATTTTTTCATGTGTTTTTTGGCTGCATAAATGTCTTCTTTTGAGAAGTGTCTGTTCATGTCCTTCGCCCACTTTTTGATGGGGTTGTTTGTTTTTTTGTTGTAAATTTGTTTGAGTTCATTGTAGATTCTGGATATTAGCCCTTTGTCAGATGAGTAGGTTGCGAAAATTTTCTCCCATGTTGTAGGTTGCCTGTTCACTCTGATGGTAGTTTCTTTTGCTGTGCAGAAGCTCTTTAGTTTAATTAGATCCCATTTGTCAATTTTGGCTTTTGTTGCCATTGCTTTTGGTGTTTTGGACATGAAGTCCTTGCCCACGCCTATGTCCTGAATGGTAATGCCTAGGTTTTCTTCTAGGGTTTTTATGGTTTTAGGTCTAACGTTTAAATCTTTAATCCATCTTGAATTGATTTTTGTATAAGGTGTAAGGAAGGGATCCAGTTTCAGCTTTCTACATACGGCTAGCCAGTTTTCCCAGCACCATTTATTAAATAGGGAATCCTTTCCCCATTGCTTGTTTTTCTCAGGTTTGTCAAAGATCAGATAGTTGTAGATATGCGGCATTATTTCTGAGGGCTCTGTTCTGTTCCATTGATCTATATCTCTGTTTTGGTACCAGTACCATGCTGTTTTGGTTACTGTAGCCTTGTAGTATAGTTTGAAGTCAGGTAGTGTGATGCCTCCAGCTTTGTTCTTTTGGCTTAGGATTGACATGGCAATGCGGGCTCTTTTTTGGTTCCATATGAACTTTAAAGTAGTTTTTTCCAATTCTGTGAAGAAAGTCATTGGTAGCTTGATGGGGATGGCATTGAATCTGTAAATTACCTTGGGCAGTATGGCCATTTTCACGATATTGATTCTTCCTACCCATGAGCATGGAATGTTCTTCCATTTGTTTGTGTCCTCTTTTATTTCCTTGAGCAGTGGTTTGTAGTTCTCCTTGAAGAGGTCCTTCACATCCCTTGTAAGTTGGATTCCTAGGTATTTTATTCTCTTTGAAGCAATTGTGAATGGGAGTTCACCCATGATTTGGCTCTCTGTTTGTCTGTTGTTGGTGTATAAGAATGCTTGTGATTTTTGTACATTGATTTTGTATCCTGAGACTTTGCTGAAGTTGCTTATCAGCTTAAGGAGATTTTGGGCTGAGACAATGGGGTTTTCTAGATAAACAATCATGTCGTCTGCAAACAGGGACAATTTGACTTCCTCTTTTCCTAATTGAATACCCTTTATTTCCTTCTCCTGCCTGATTGCCCTGGCCAGAACTTCCAACACTATGTTGAATAGGAGCGGTGAGAGAGGGCATCCCTGTCTTGTGCCAGTTTTCAAAGGGAATGCTTCCAGTTTTTGCCCATTCAGTATGATATTGGCTGTGGGTTTCTCATAGATAGCTCTTATTATTTTGAAATACGTCCCATCAATACCTAATTTATTGAGAGTTTTTAGCATGAAGGGTTGTTGAATTTTGTCAAAGGCTTTTTCTGCATCTATTGAGATAATCATGTGGTTTTTGTCTTTGGCTCTGTTTATATGCTGGATTACATTTATTGATTTGCGTATATTGAACCAGCCTTGCATCCCAGGGATGAAGCCCACTTGATCATGGTGGATAAGCTTTTTGATGTGCTGCTGGATTCGTTTTGCCAGTATTTTATTGAGGATTTTTGCATCAATGTTCATCAAGGATATTGGTCTAAAATTCTCTATTTTGGTTGTGTCTCTGCCCAGCTTTGGTATCAGAATGATGCTGGCCTCATAAAATGAGTTAGGGAGGATTCCCTCTTTTTCTATTGATTGGAATAGTTTCAGAAGGAATGGTACCAGTTCCTCCTTGTACCTCTGGTAGAATTCGGCTGTGAATCCATCTGGTCCTGGACTCTTTTTGGTTGGTAAACTATTGATTATTGCCACAATTTCAGAGCCTGTTATTGGTCTATTCAGAGATTCAACTTCTTCCTGGTTTAGTCTTGGGAGAGTGTATGTGTCGAGGAATGTATCCATTTCTTCTAGATTTTCTAGTTTATTTGCGTAGAGGTGTTTGTAGTATTATCTGATGGTAGTTTGTATTTCTGTGGGATCGGTGGTGATATCCCCTTTATCATTTTTTATTGTGTCTATTTGATTCTTCTCTCTTTTTTTCTTTATTAGTCTTGCTAGCAGTCTATCAATTTTGTTGATCCTTTCAAAAAACCAGCTCCTGGATTCATTGATTTTTTGAAGGGTTTTTTGTGTCTCTATTTCCTTCAGTTCTGCTCTGATTTTAGTTATTTCTTGCCTTCTGCTAGCTTTTGAATGTGTTTGCTGTTGCTTTTCTAGTTCTTTTAATTGTGATGTTAGGGTGTCAATTTTGGATCTTTCCTGCTTTCTCCTGTGGGTGTTTAGTGCTATAAATTTCCCTCTACACACTGCTTTGAATGTGTCCCAGAGATTCTGGTATGTTGTATCTTTGTTCTCGTTGGTTTCAAAGAACATCTTTATTTCTGCCTTCATTTCGTTATGTACCCTGTAGTCATTCAGGAGCAGATTGTTCAGTTGCCATGTAGTTGAGCGGTTTTGAGTGTGATTCTTAATCCTGAGTTCTAGTTTGATTGCACTGTGGTCTGAGAGATAGTTTGTTACAATCTCTGTTCTTTTACATTTGCAGAGGAGAGCTTTACTTCCAAGTATGTGGTCAATTTTGGAATAGGTGTGGTGTGGTGCTGAAAAAAATGTATATTCTGTTGATTTGGGGTGGAGAGTTCTGTAGATGTCTATTAGGTCTGCTTGGTGCAGAGCTGAGTTCAATTCCTGGGTATCCTTGTTGACTTTCTGTCCGTTGATCTGTCTAATGTTGACAGTGGGGTGTTAAAGTCTCCCATTATTAATGTGTGGGAGTCTAAGTCTCTTTGTAGGTCACTCAGGACTTGCTTTATGAATCTGGGTGCTCCTGTATTGGGTGCATAAATATTTAGGATAGTTAGCTCCTCTTGTTGAATTGATCCCTTTACCATTATGTAATGGCCTTCTTTGTCTCTTTTGATCTTTGTTGGTTTAAAGTCTGTTTTATCAGAGACTAGGATTGCAACCCCTGCCTTTTTTTGTTTTCCATTGGCTTGGTAGATCTTCCTCCATCCTTTTATTTTGAGCCTATGTGTGTCTCTGCACGTGATATGGGTTTCCTGAATACAGCACACTGATGGGTCTTGACTCTTTATCCAACTTGCCAGTCTGTGTCTTTTAATTGCAGAATTTAGTCCATTTATATTTAAAGTTAATATTGTTATGTGTGAATTTGATCCTGTCATTATGATGTTAGCTGGTGATTTTGCTCATTAGTTGATGCAGTTTCTTCCTAGTCTCGATGGTCTTTACATTTTGGCATGATTTTGCAGCGGCTGGTACCGGTTGTTCCTTTCCATGTTTAGCGCTTCCTTCAGGAGCTCTTTTATGGCAGGCCTGGTGGTGACAAAATCTCTCAGCATTTGCTTGTCTATAAAGTATTTTATTTCTCCTTCACTTATGAAGCTTAGTTTGGCTGGATATGAAATTCTGGTTTGAAAATTCTTTTCTTTAAGAATGTTGAATATTGGCCCCCACTCTCTTCTGGCTTGTAGGGTTTCTGCCGAGAGATCCGCTGTTAGTCTGATGGGCTTTCCTTTGAGGGTAACCCGACCTTTCTCTCTGGCTGCCCTTAACATTTTTTCCTTCATTTCAACTTTGGTGAATCTGACAATTATGTGTCTTGGAGTTGTTCTTCTCGAGGAGTATCTTTGTGGCGTTCTCTGTATTTCCTGAATCTGAACGTTGGCCTGCCTTGCTAGATTGGGGAAGTTCTCCTGGATAATATCCTGCAGAGTGTTTTCCAACTTGGTTCCATTCTCCACATCACTTTCAGGTACACCAATCAGACGTAGATTTGGTCTTTTCACATAGTCCCATATTTCTTGGAGGCTTTGCTCATTTCTTTTTATTCTTTTTTCTCTAAACTTCCCTTCTCACTTCATTTCATTCATTTCATCTTCCATTGCTGATACCCTTTCTTCCAGTTGATTGCATCGGCTCCTGAGGCTTCTGCATTCTTCACGTAGTTCTCGAGCCTTGGTTTTCAGCTCCATCAGCTCCTTTAAGCACTTCTCTGTATTGGTTATTCTAGTTACACATTCTTCTAAATTTTTTTCAAAGTTTTCAACTTCTTTGCCTTTGGTTTGAATGTTCTCCCGTAGCTCAGAGTAATTTGATCGTCTGAAGCCTTCTTCTCTCAGCTCGTCAAAATCATTCTCCATCCAGCTTTGTTCTGTTGCTGGTGAGGAACTGCGTTCCTTTGGAGGAGGAGAGGCGCTCTGCGTTTTAGAGTTTCCAGTTTTTCTGTTCTGTTTTTTCCCCATCTTTGTGGTTTTATCTACTTTTGGTCTTTGATGATGGTGATGTACAGATGGGTTTTCAGTGTAGATGTCCTTTCTGGTTGTTAGTTTTCCTTCTAACAGACAGGACCCTCAGCTGCAGGTCTGTTGGAATACCCTGCCGTGTGAGGTGTCAGTGTGCCCCTGCTGGGGGGTGCCTCCCAGTTAGGCTGCTCGGGGGTCAGGGGTCAGGGACCCACTTGAGGAGGCAGTCTGCCCGTTCTCAGATCTCCAGCTGCGTGCTGGGAGAACCACTGCTCTCTTCAAAGCTGTCAGACAGGGACACTTAAGTCTGCAGAGGTTACTGCTGTCTTTTTGTTTGTCTGCGCCCTGCCCCCAGAGGTGGAGCCTACAGAGGCAGGCAGGCCTCCTTGAGCTGTGGTGGGCTCCACCCAGTTCGAGCTTCCCGGCTGCTTTGTTTACCTAAGCAAGCCTGGGCAATGGCGGGCGCCCCTCCCCCAGCCTCGTTGCCGCCTTGCAGTTTGATCTCAGACTGCTGTGCTAGCAATCAGCGAGATTCCGTGGGCGTAGGACCCTCTGAGCCAGGTGTGGGATATAGTCTCGTGGTGCGCCGTTTCTTAAGCCGGTCTGAAAAGCGCAATATTCGGGTGGGAGTGACCCGATTTTCCAGGTGCGTCCGTCACCCCTTTCTTTGACTCGGAAAGGGAACTCCCTGACCCCTTGCGCTTCCCAGGTGAGGCAATGCCTCGCCCTGCTTCGGCTCGCGCATGGTGCACCCACACACTGGCCTGCGCCCACTGTCTGGCACTCCCTAGTGAGATGAACCCGGTACCTCAGATGGAAATGCAGAAATCACCCGTCTTCTGCGTCGCTCACGCTGGGAGCTGTAGACCGGAGCTGTTCCTATTCGGCCATCTTGGCTCCTTCTCCACATCAAAGTTCTAAAATACAAATAGTGAAGATATCACTGAAGTCACCCTAACTACAAATAACTAACTTGAAATATAATATTTTTATAACTAATGTATGTATGTATGTAAGTGAAGAAGTGTCAATTAAGCCATCAATGAATGAAGCATGCATTTTTTTCTTTACAATTTAGGAAAAATTGAAGAACACTTTATATTGGTATAAAAGAGGTAAAATACGTATTTTCTTACTTTGCTGGTAGAAGTGCAATTTGAATAACCAATTTTTAAAATAATTCAGCCATATTTAAGTGCCTTAAGCAATTTTACTTCCTGGGTTCTAATATAAGGAGATTTTCCTTTGTTGGGGGGGCAGATAAAGTCTTAGACAGAAATATGTTTATTGTGGAATTATTCAAAACAGTAAAAATTTGAAAATGACTTTAATAACCGATAATTAGGAGCACATGTAAACTGTTAAACATCCATCAATACTTTCCAGTTCTTAAAATGATACATTTTGTAGGCTAGCATTATCATCTAAATTTTCATGTAATTTCTTACTATAACTTGAAAGAATCTAGTTCAATGAAAAGTAACCTTGGTCTACCTTGGTCTAGGGTTTTTCTTATTTAAATAAAATTCAGAGAAAAATGGAAGAAATTATATTTTCAATTGTTTAAATGTTGATATGTTAATTTTTCCCTAGTTTCTGCCTGCTTGTTGATGTAAATTATTTATATTAGCATAACTCAAGATATCTTAGATCGTACTGCAACCTGCAAAATGTAGGAACTGTTTCCATTGCCCACCCTACCACCCATCCCTTTGCCTACCAAGCTTTCAGAACTTTCGGGAGTGATCTGATTTCTACATATGCTCCTTCTGTTGGGGCTGCTGTTTCTCTGCTGGAGCCATTTTCTGTTTCATGAGTTGATACCTGTGTATGCTGTTCCACAGTGTATGCTGTTCCACAGTGTATGCACTTGCTTGACCAAGCCTAACTATCTCCATTGGGGTCATTATGGTTTTACCATTGCTTTAGATTGTTGTTTTTCTTTCTAGGTCCACTCCTTTTCCATTGAACATTGCAGCTTCTCCTACTCGTTTACAAGTCCTCAAAGTTGTCCTGATTAGGCCTGATGATTTCTTCTATTCAGGGCATTCACGTCTACTTGGTTACCCCTGATGCTTTGTCAGACAGTTCAGTTTTTTCACCAAATAGCTGTAACTTTAACACCAAGTGCAGGGAAACTTTCACTGCTCTTCCAGGAATATCCATCTGTGTCCTATGGACCTGCTTCTGCCTATCGCTTGTAACTGCCACCAAAGCACTTGTGGTGCCAACATAGTGTGACAACTATATCAAAGGGAGTATAGCAAGGAAAAAAAGAAAGCTTTAATCCCCTTAATGTCAGATCCCACTAGAGGGTCCCAAAGCAGTTCTGCTTGTGATCCAAGATTTTACAGAAATGTTCTTTCGGTTTTTTTTTTTTTTCCTTATAGCCATTTTCATTTCAAAGATCTAAATTCAAGTGACAGCCACTCTGCTGTATTCATAATCACTAGTCTTTTTTGATGACTAAAATATTTTTACTGGATTTAAAATGCTCACATCTGGCTTTATGACTTCCATGCCTTCCCAGGAATCCAGCTGTCCACTTCCAGTTCTTCTCACCACTACCAAGCAACTTTCTTGAACAGAATCTACATGATAACCTTCTTTTATGCATATCTCACGCATGTGCAATTGCGGCAATAACTTCTGTGTGTTGTTGTCAGTATATTTGCTAAGATCATTGTTTATTTTTAGATTTTGCAGTCAGGATTCAAGTGAAGAATTTGAGAATTAGACAAACGGTTCTCAGAACACAATCTGGAAATGTTCACCTTCACCTCTCCAAGTAGCTTTTACCTGTTATTTCAGGTCTCAGCAAAGCCTTGGCTTTAATACAAAGTTACATACTCTGAGTGTTTAATTGTCAAAAAACCACAATTCTAAGACTCAATCAAATCATCAGTATTTAACATGTTAAGATAATAACTAGTGTGATGTGTTTTATTCTTGTTTGTGTTTTAGCAGAATATATTATATTAACAGGGTTGGTTCTACATGCTATCTAAATTACGAGTATATTTTCCCTGATTCTTTCATAATTGTCCCCTGAAGTATATTATCAAATATATATGTTGATTTATGAACAGACTCTAGTATCCAGTCTTTCACAAAAGTCTTGCTTTTGAGCAAGAAATATATACTACAAAATGTCTTGAAAAAATTAGATTTCTTCATGTCCTTTGCAGCCACATGGAGGCAGCTGGAGGCCATTATCCAAAGTTAATTAATGCAGAAACAGAAAAGTAAATACTGCATGTTCTCACTTATAAATGTGATGGGCTTTGGACTCGTGTCCCCATCCAAATCTCATGTTGAATTGTAATCCCTAATGTTGGAGGTGGGGCCTGGTGGGAGGCGATTTGGTCATGGGGGTGGATCCTTCATACATGGTTTAACACCATCCCCTTGGTACCGTTCTTGTGGTAGTGAGTGAGTTCTCAGATCTGGTTGTTTAAAGCCTGTTGCACTTCCCCCCAACTTGCTCTTGTTTTCTTCATGTGAACTGCCTGCTCTCACTTTGCCTTCCTCAGTCAGTAAAGGTTCCTTGAGGCCTCCCCAGAAGCAGATACTGTCATGCTTCCTGTATAGCTTGCAGAACCATAAGCCAAATAAACCTCTTTCCTTATTAATTTCCCAGTTTAAGATATTTTGTGTAAGGCTATGAGAACGGCCTAATACAAAGTGGGAGCTAAATATTGAGTACACATGAAATAAAGATGTAAACAATAAACACCAAGGACTTCAAAACCAAGGAAGCAGGGAGGAGACAAAGGCTATAAAAAACTTCTTAATGGGTGCTGTGTTCATTATCTGTGTGATGGGATCAATAGAGGCCCAAACCTCAGAATCACAGAATATGCCCTTATAACAAACCTGCACATGTACTCCCTGAATCTAAAATTAAAATTACAACCGAAAAACTTGGATTCTTTATATTATTATGATATCACTGAGTTCAAATTTAGAATAGTTCAGAATATTTTCCCTGGAATATAATTTTTTGTACTTCACTTGAATTTGTCTTTAGGGTCCCTTTTATAAATAATATTACCAAAATGCTAACAATATAAGGAAATGTATCTATTGGCAGTTTTCATCATGTAAAGGTTATTCTGAAAAGTCTTACAGAACAAAGTAATACTGAGGTGCTGCTGAACTTCTGAACATAGATGTAAAATAAATCAAATCTTCAATTATTTCCCCTGGAAACAGTTTTATTGATTTGTCTTTCACATAATGTGATTTAGCTCTCTAAAACAAGATATTTACAGGAACTGTTTCATCTTTAACAATTGTAAAAGCAATGACCACAGATTGCCACATTATCTTCATATATGTGTATATATGAGATATACATGTGTGTTTGTATATGTGTGTGTAATAAATACATATATTCAACTTATACATATATGAAATATATATGACCATATATAGAATACCACATGCATATGTATATATGGAATATATATTTATATATATAATGCACACATATAAATAATGTGTATGTATATTAAATATATAGTCTTCTAAACAAATACAAGTAAGCTAAAAACAAAATTCATATGAAATGTTTAAAGATCCTTAAATTTCTGCCTGTTGGTCTCTTAGCTAATTATTCTCTAGTTTCCTACCTGCATTCCTTAAAATGGTAAGTAAATTTCTGTTGCTATGGTTTAGAATTTTGAACAGAAGACTGACAATTACATGATTCAAAGTAGATGACAGTTTGCCTTTTTGGAGGTAGTATTTATAGTCTAAAATAATAATTATCTGTAAGATTGTCAAGGGGTTACAAAGTTATTACAATTATTAAACACTTTTATTCATCATAGTAATTTGGAATGCAGATCTAAATGGTTAGTCTCTACCTTTGTAGTAGAAATTTATACATTTCTCTTATAATGAGTGAAGTAAAAAAATTGAAAAGAAAAAATCCAAATAATTCAGGCAGTGACAACTATAAAATGAATACCTCAGTATGGAATATTTGCCATACTGGCTAGGACAGTTATCCATACTTTCTATGATTCTATTTTTTTTGTTTTGCTTTTTGGAATTTTGGTCAAAATATATTACACAGTGGCAAATTTAGGATGATACCACAGTGTCATTAAGACCTGCTTTTGTCTATCAAACATATATTTAACTTTACCCTTTATTATGCATAATATGTGGTGATGTAGAAATCTGTAAGCTTTCCGCCTACTGACTGAGGGATCCTCCATCTGACTTATTTTAAACGGGCTCTTTTATAGTTAGTAACAAATACTTATTAGAGCATTCTTGGATTTTATGTATAAGTCTATGTAAATCACAGAATTCTGTATAGGTAATCATATCTAGAGCTTATGTTATCTTATTAGTTTAACCGCTTTTTCATCTAATATTTATATTTTCAAGGAAGAAATCTTTTATAATCTTGTCTCACAGCAGAATATATTATGTCCTCTTGAAAAATTTTCTTATTCTTATAAATGCCTTTCCTTTTTCTGTTTTTCTTTTTTTTACTCTTTTTTTTTTTAAATAAATGGTAATCTAAAACACTCTTCAAGTTTTTTTATGTGGAGGCTGGTACATGGGAGGACTCTAAATCAGTGTGGTTTAGCTGGAAAAATATTTGTTCAGGAGTCAGTAAGTTCCTGATTAAAATCCTAGCTTCCTTCATTACCTTACATGACCCCATGAAATTTAGCCTCTTTGATTGTTACTTTCCCTATTTGTAAAACTACAACACTTTCCTTATTGAATTTCTGTAATACATAAATGAGATAGCATATGAAAGACCAATGACTCACTAAGCGTTAGGGAAAGTGCTCCTGCCTTTTCTTACACATATGGATATGTTTTTATTTGAGCTGACTGTTTCTTACCATCTGTCTTAGAATAGATGTGGGCTCCGAAAAAGTGGAGATAGTGTTTTTAATTCTGCCCTTAACCTAGACAAAAAAGTGCCTCATCAACCTAGCTCAAAAAATGGTTCATTTTGGGCTTTGGTGGCCAAGTGTTATAAAAATAAGATTGTGTAGGTTTGGTATTGAGCTTGTTGTACACATTTCTTTTGGGAACCTTCAAAGAACTGACAGAAATAGACAAGATTATCTTTTTACATGACTTATGAAAACTCATGGTCAAATATTTAATAGGGTCCATGTGATACAACATTGATTTATAATTTGTTATTTTTTTACCCTGAGGTTGGCCAAATCTCAAACAGCATGGTTGATCAGTGGTTAGTAAAAATGCATATTGAGTTACTTCCAGCATTTACTGACACATTCTGCTTCTTTCCAAAGTCAGCTTCTCTAAGGTTGTGTTTATCTCAGTGATTGAATTTGGCGTCCTTAGCTTTGATCTTTGTTACACACTCTGGGATATAACCTTCATTTATTAATTTAGTCTTATAAACAAACAAAAGCTACAGTATGATTAAAAGTCTGATCTTTTGGGTAACTACTGCCAAATCTCTGGCCTGACACCCCACGGTAAATGACCCAGATAGACATGGAGTGGGCCTCCTCAGTGAGTGATCTAAATTATGTTGTATTTTAACACTTATTTAACACATGCACAGATAGGTATACAAAACAAGAAAATGTAAGTTTATGAATTATCAGAAAGTGAACGTGTCTTGACTCAGATGATGACATACAATATTGCTAGCAGCCTCAAAGTTCTCATTCTGTCCTCTCCAATTACTTCTGCATCTACTCCACCAAATATAACCAATATCTTGTCTTTCATGAGAATCACTTTTTTGATATTCTTATTGTTTCATTCTAAAGTTATATATTCTTAAACATGAGCATTAAATTTCCATTTTCAGACTTCATTTTAAAAGAAATCTACAACACGTTAGACTGTTTTGCTTTTTACACTAAATACTTGATATGGCATTTATTCGTGTTGCATAGAGTTTATTGACTCCTCATTATCCATTCTGTAAATATTTCACAATTTAAGCGCTCATTCTAGTTTGTTAGACAATTAAGTCACTTGCTAGTATTGACTATTATAAAATTTTCTGTTCTGTGTAATCATATTTATATACTGTTGTGTGTGTAAGCACACAATTCTTTTGGATATATTTCTAGGTGTGCACTTGCTGGATCATACAGTAAGAGTATGTTTAGCTTTAGTAGACAATGCCAACAATGCTTTCCAAAAGATTATATCAACTTATACTCCCACCAGCAATGTATGAGATTTTCCATTACTCTGCATCTTCTTCAATTCTTAAAAGGTAGTTACTTTTTAATTTTAATTATTGTGGTGGATGTATAAGAACATCTCATTTGTATTTTAATTGGCATTTCTCTGATAGTTAATAATATTGAGCAATTTTCGTATCTTTATCGAACATGTAGACACCCTAGATTGTGAAATGCTTGTTCAAGCATTTTGTTCATACTCTACTGAATTCTTTGTAGTTTTTACTTATTATTATTATTTTCTAAGAGATGGGGTCTGTTCTGTTGCTCAGGCTAGACTTAAGTGATGTAATCCCAGCTCACTGCAGCCTTGAACTCCTGGGCTTAAGTTGTCCTTCCACCTCAACCTCCTGACTAGCTGAGACTACAGGTGCAAAACACCATATATGGCTAATTTAAAAAAAAAAATGTTTTTAAATGTTGGGGTCCAGGCTGGTCTTGAACTCCTGGATTCAAGTGATCCTCCCTTCTCAGTCTCTCATGTAATAGGGATTACAGGCATGACATTGTGCACGGCTCTTTGTCTTTTATTAATGGTAGGAGACCTTTTCAATATATTTTGGATTTGAGCTCTTTCTCTGTTACACAACTCCTTCTACTATGTGGCTTGTGTTTTTACTTTTTCTAGGAATGGCTTTTAATGAATACAAAGTTCTTAATATGAGATTGTGTGCACATATATATTTACATATACATATATTTCTTTATGGTAACTGCAACTGGTACACATGCTTTTATGTTTAGGAGTAGTTTATAGCTTTCCACTGACTATTCTTTATTTTGTCATATCAGTTGAACCTGAGTAAATGTAAAAATGGGTATATACTATTGCACATGTAGTCAAGAGAGCTAAGTTACATATGCCTGATATAAAATGTATTCTTTGTAATAGTTGGACAATAATAGTTGAATATGGGGCAAGATATCTTATGAAAATAATTCATTATTGACTGTTTTAGTTCTTATTGGAAATGTTCAATGCTTTAGTCATGTTATTGTACTAAAGAATGAGAGTTAGTTGAGGTCTAACACGATAGGGCTTTATCTGTAGCCACACCATCTGGAAACATCTAGTGTAACTCTGTGATTTTGCTTTACTCATAGGACTATTAGAGCTGTGGGGAGGAACTATAATACAAGACAGAGTTTCTAAAAGTGTGAAAGACCAAGTAATACATTTGCTTTTGCCTTTGGTATTGGCATATCCAACACATCTATGCTGTTCTTGGGTATGATAGCTTAAAAATATTATTTGAACCCATTCATATTTAGGAAGGGTGTCAGAAATTGAGAAGCAGGCATACCCATCTACTCTAAAAATGATCCTAAAGTAAATTGCTTGAATAAATTAGATTGAAAAGATTCTTGGTGGGGGACTTTTTAAAGTTGTCCTCAATATGTCCATATTCAAGTGAAGGTAAGAGAAGCCCAGACAAAAAAAGTTGTGAGATGACAGGACAACTATGGATTAAGCATCAATTCTTTTAAAAAGGGCTGACTTAAAAATAAATCTTGGCTCAATTAGAGGAACTTAGCTGACCTTGATGGGCAAAGAAAGGAATCACAACATGTGAAATTCTTTGGATAAAGAATGTATTGACTTAAAAAAATGAGAGTAGCTTTTATATAGCATTGGTAATTCCATTTAAAGAAAACTCTATTGTTATATATTCAAACTTCTGGACTAGTGAAATTAAACAGTATCCTTAGATTGCACAGTAGGTTGTTTAAAATAGAAACTATTCTGGCAATTATTTATCTGTGAAAATTAAAATTTTCTATCTGTTCTACAAAAGGCAGGCTAACCAAATGACAGATAGAAAGAAAATAACTCAGAAACTAATTAAAGTGTATCCTCAGATTTAAGGTAGATTACTCTTTATTAAAAATTACAGTTTAAAACATTGGTATCCCAAATATTCAATTATAAAATTTTGGGCCCATGAAAACATTCTCATGGATAAACTTTGTAGTAAATACACAGCATAAACTTGAAATTTAAATAAACATATACCAATAAAAACATCTATTTTATATAATTCATGGATATAATTTATATTTAACATTTTATTTAAGCACTTTAATACACAGTATCACTGTAAACAAAATATGAATACCTCTGTACCCAGCAAAAGAGCAAACCAAATGAAAGATGTACTAGTTCATAAGGAACATCTACCCTTTATCAAAGTTGATGCTAAGAACATAACTATTCTCTCAAAGACATAAATTTTATCATTTCCTGTATTATCTTTTGAAATGGGACTTATCTTCTGTACTGTGAAATATGAAGGAATCCCAAGATTAGCTTTAGGTTGTCTTTGGATCCCTGGAATTTTCTCAAAAATTTTCTATCTGCATCTGAGGGTGGTGGATGGATCAAGTCTATAACTACATTTTTTTAAATGTTACAACAAAATGTATTAACACATGTATAGTGTTATGGTTAGTTCTCAGTACAAATTACCTATTATTAACGAGATATTTATATGCTGAATTGTGTTAATACATGCTTTCACACAAATATTTTTCCATTACACATGAGTTTTCCAACCAATAGATGAATATATATTTGAATTACAATTTTATTTTTTTTAAATTATACTTTAAGTTCTAGGGTACATGTGCACAAAGTGCAGGTTGGTTACATATGTATACATGTGCCATGTTGGTATGCTGCACCCATTAACTCGTCATTTACATTAGGTATATCTCCTAATGCTATCCCTTCCCCCTCCCCCCACCCCACAACAGGCCCTGTGTGTGATGTTCCCCTTCCTGTGTCCAAGTGTTCTCATTGTTCAATTCCCACCTATGAGTGAGAACACGCGGTGTTTGGTTTTTTGTCCTTGCAATAGTTTGTTGAGAATGATGGTTTCCAGCTTCATCCATGTCCCTACAAAGGACATGAACTCATCCTGTTTTATGGCAGCATAGTATTCCATGGTGTATATGTGCCACATTTTCTTAATCCAGTCTATCATTCATGGACATTTGGGTTGGTTCCAAGTCTTTGTGCTATTGTGAATAGTGCCACAATAAATATACATGTGCATGTGTCTTTGTAGCAGCATGATTTATAATCCTTTGGGTATATACCCAGCAATGGGATTGCTGGGTCAAATGGTATTTCTAGTTCTAGATCCTTGAGGAATCGCCACACTGTATTCCACAATGGTTGAACTAGTTTACAGTCCCACCAACAGTGTAAAGGTATTCCTATTTCTCCACATCCTCTCCAGTACCTGTTGTTTCCTGACTTTTTAATGATTGCCATTCTAACTGGTGTGAGATGGTATCTCACTGTGGTTTTGATTTGCATTTCTCTGATGGCCAGTGATGATGAGCATTTTTTCATGTGTCTGCTGGCTGCATAAATGTCTTCTTTTGAGAAGCATCTGTTCATATCCTTCACCCACTTGTTGATGGGGTTATTTGATTTTTTCTTGTAAATTTGCTTAAGTTCTTTGTAGATTTTGGATATTAGCCCTTTGTCAGATGAGTAGATTGCAAAAATTTTCTCCCATTCTGTAGGTTGCCTCTTCACTCTGATGGTAGTTTCTTTTGCTGTGCAGAAGCTCTTTAGTTTAATTAGATCCCATTTGTCAATTTTGGCTTTTGTTGCCATTGCTTTTGGTGTTTTAGACATGAAGTCCTTGCCCATGCCTATGTCCTGAATGGTATTGTCTAGGTTTTCTTCTAGGGTTTTTATGGTTTTAGGTCTAACATTTAAGTCTTTAATCCATCTTGAATGAATTTTTGTATAAGGTGTAAGGAAGGGATCCAGTTTCAGCTTTCTACAGATGGCTAGCCAGTTTTCCCAGCACCATTTATTAAATAGGGAATCCTTTCTCCATTTCTTGTTTTTTCAGGTTTGTCAAAGATCAGATAGTTGTAGATGTGTGGTATTATTTCTGAGGGCTGTGTTCTGTTCCATTGGTCTATATCTCCGTTTTGCTACCAGTATCATGCTATTTTAGTTACTGTAGCCTTGTAGTATTGTTTGAAGTCAGGTAGCATGATGCCTCCAGCTTTGTTCTTTTGGCTTAGGATTGACTTGGCAATGCAACTTCAGCAAAGTCTCAGGATACAAAATCAATGTGCAAAAATCACAAGCATTCTTATACACCAATGACAGACAAACAGAGAGCCAAATCATGAGTGAACTCCCATTCACGATTGCTTCAAAGAGAATAAGATACCTAGGAATCCAACTTACAAGAGATGTGAAGGATCTCTTCAAGGAGAACTACGAACTACTGCTCAATGAAATAAAAGAGGACACAAACAAATGGAAGAACATTCCATGCTCATGGATAGGAAGAATCAACATCGCGAAAATGGCCATACTGCCCAAGTTAATTTATAGATTCAATGCCATCCCCGTCAAGCTACCAATGACTTTCTTCACAGAATTGGAAAAAACTACTTTAAAGTTCATATGGAATTATAATTACATTTTTTACTTATCTGAGTATCCTTGGAAAAAGTATATTAGCGAATCAAAGAAATCATTCACTCCCGGTTGCAAGCAAAACAGAACTGCAAGAGGAGCTATAGTTTATCTAGCGTTGCAGGCTTTCTATAGGTTACAGAAACACTCTATATGTGTTACATGAATTTAAAGTGTATTTTAGGTTTTGATTCTTTTAGTGTATCATTCACTGAAACAGTATAGGATTGATCATCTTTCTGGACTTTATGTGAAAAACTTTTCTCCTCAGGAGAGAAAATGACTCAAATAACTATTTAATATTTTAGAACACATTATCATTTCAGATTGATTAGAATAAATTACCCTAAATATGTCACATTATTCAAATGTGCTTTGAAGGTTTGTGTTTTATTTATTTATTTAAGACAATTTTAGAGCTTATCAATGAATTTCCACTTTGTTGGTATCTCTGTATTCACTTCTACATTCCTTTGGTTTCTAAGATCAGTATTTTATTTATTTGATAGAATCATTCATTTTAATATAATCACTTTTTAATAAACAGTTTAGGTGAACAGTGCATGCGTGTTCACATTCCAGTTTCAATAAATTATGTGTATTTGCTCTCCTACCCACATTTTTACACAGCTTCTCAGAAATCTCTTAGCTCAGTCAGTCATAATTCCCTCCTTAATGAATAATAGAATTGCTTTTCTCCCACAGATCATTATAGAAGATGAGTAGTCTACGATGCTGGAAATTTTTATATATTCTATATGCTTGAAATGAGTATCACTAGTTGTCTAGCACAGGATTGTTCAATAGAGCATTCTGCTATTATGGCCATGTTCTATATATGAGCTGTCCAGTTCAATAGCCATTGGTGACATATGGCTATTGAGCATTTGAAATGTGGCTAGTGCAATAGAGGGACTGAAATTTAATTTAATTTAGTAAGTTTAAATTTAAATACCCATGTGTGACCACTGAGTACCAATATGAACAGTGTAGCTCTAGAGAGTTATCTGCCTAGAAAATTTTCTGGAGAATATCTTGTAGTTGTAGGAACATGTTAGCAAGCTGTCATTCTTCAAGCATAATAGCGATTTATAAAAATTCCAAATTCTATGAAACTTTTTGAAAACTTATGCTGATATTTCTTAAGATACCCTGGATTTTTTTACTTATATATCATGTTGTTATCAAGTTTCCTAATTAAGACTAATAGAATATCCCAAACATTTGTATGAATTTATTATATGTCCCTATTTATTTTTCAAAAATAATTACTAAAAAGAATTCACAAAAAAATTCTTCACTGAAGATTTGGTGAAAACTATTCAGTGGGATTTACTCCTACTTCATATCACCCTTTTTACACAGTGCTTACCAAATACGTGTTCACACTTAAATTTTTTTTTAAAAAAAGCTTGCTTTAGAACTTGAATGGCTATATTTAAGCCATTTTTTCTTTGTGAAAATATCTCTCCAATTTCGTGCAGCATCTAGCTTATGACAGTTGCTGTCTTATTTTATTCACCCTCCCACGTTTTAAAAATATGATTTTTTAATTTAATGACAATCTATCTTGGCAGTTGGCAATTTGAGTTGTAAAAAGTGCTTTCTTTTTTCAACATTTGGCCTTTTGGTACAAATAACATGACAAAGATTGTGTTTTAAGATAATCCATTCAGTTTTCATTTCAAAGCTAATTATTATTTTTAATAATTTTAATGGCTTATATTTTACTATAGTTTCCTTTTCAAAAGTTGCTAAGCATGTTATTTAAAATTTTTACTCATTCATCTTAATGTTGACTTGTGAAGTGATCAATATTTATTAAAGCTAAATTGTCTTTACTTGTTTGTGCCCTGTACTGAGTCCAACTCAAGGTACTTACTTGCTTTGTAGATTTAAATAACTTTGCTTAAGGAAGCTGTCCCTAACTCTGTTTTAAATCCTTACCTCCACATTTTGACACAGTAAAGCTTTGTGTTAATTTTTGTGTGAAAAAGATAATTAAAGTTTCCTAGTATATTACCTAGAGTTTCCCAAGTGCCATTAACCTATTGAAACAGTTCATCTATAGAATAATTACATTTCTATTGCTGCTGCTAAAAACTATATATCCTATAAATATTTAATCAACAATTGTTTGAATACTTAAAGTATTTTCAGAGATAGCCAACTTGGATCTTCATAGGGTTAAGAAAATTATTCTCAAACATGAATTTTGAGAAAGGACACAATATAACTTAATTTCTTAGGAGTAAGTGCTGAAAGTTGAAAGAAAATAAGATTGGGAAATAAGAACAGAGATGGAATATGAATAAAATAGTATCACAGCATTACAGTATCACAGAGGATTAAGGACAAGGAATATAAACTTTCTTTGTGAAGGTTAGTATTTAGCTCACTCTAACCTCTGCCTCCCAGGTTCAAGTAATTCTCCTGCCTCAGCCTCCCAAGTAGCTGGGATTATAGGCGAACACCACCATGACCAGCTAATTTTTGTATTTTAGTAGAGATGGGGTTTCACCATGTTGGCCAGGCTGGTATCAAACTCCTGACCTCAGGTAATCTGCCCACTTGGGCCTGCCAGAGTGCTGGGATTACAGGCGTGAGCCACCATGCCCGGCCTGTTTTGTTTTATCAGTGCATCTCTCCTGATTCTGATACTCATCCATAATCAGAAAGTTAGTGGATTATCAATTTAGTGTTATTATTATTAATGTGTTAGTAAACTTTACTATCCTGTATCAAATACTTTTTGTCAAATATTTCTAAGAGCCAGAAAGTGCTTGTCATATAAACAATTAGCCATCAGTAAATATTTACCCTAGTTTTAAAAACATCTTTAAATTTACTGATTTTACATTTGTTAGTCTATTAGACCCTTGGAATAAGGGAAATCATAATAATAACTATTTCAAGGAAGAATAGTGCAAAACTTAAAGGATGTACTTAAGTCAGTCAATAAGTGGAAAGAGCTACAAGTGGATGTATCATTTCTCTGTCATTTCAGTAGACTCTGATAAATCTTAGAACATGGATTTGCAAGATTCTGTGTTGTGTTGACAGAGGAGTCACATTTAGATACGTATAAATAGAGGTAGAAATAATAGTGAACATCATTTACTGAAACTCCAGCATGAATTTTCAAACTGTGATCTGTTTTGCAGCCTAATTTTAATGATAAACACTTATTGTCAGCAGGTAAAAATAAAGCAACAATTCCTATTAATACTATCTCTTTTAAAGTCGTTTTGTGTTCTTAACAATTCCCTTTAACTCTAGGATGGCAGTAATGGGCTTCCTTTTTTTTTTTCCTCCTTACTTTGCTTCATTTATTTCTCCTGCCTTCCTTTTGAAATATGTTAAGAGCTGAGTGTAGCTGATAACTCAAAAATAAAATTAATAGAAATCATGTGAGACAACAAACAACATATCACTTGCATTGATCTCTCATGATCTCTTCAATGATTCTCATTTAAATCACTTTTTTTCTTAACCTTCACAACATATAATGGTTAGATTATTAAAAAATTAAATACTTAAACTATAGTGGAACTTTTTTTAAGGAGTAGACCTCTTTAATAGATCTCAGAGAACTTAAGCAAATAGAGCTTCCCATAACTTCACATCAACATTCTTTTTGTTGTTAAAGGCAACAATCAGCGATAATGTTGGCAGCTAATCGCATAGCAGTGATGATTTGACATCTACCTCTTGACAGCACATTTTAGCTTCCATTTATTACTAAGACATCAGTTAACAGAGATTGGAAGGGACAATCTATCTCTCCTACCCTAACTTTGGTGTGTTACAGCAAAAGAAAATTGATTTAAGTGACGAAGTCTCAGATACCACTGTTATTTTACCCAATATTTAATGGATTCTAAATCTGGGCAGAAACATGCTCAGACAATGTCTAATTCTAAACAGCATTCTAACCCAAAAAATGTGACTCCTCTGTCAGCACAACGCAGACCTCCTATGGAAGATTTTAAAAGAATCATGCACAGAACTGCAAATATTTCATTTTAACTTCCATCCCATCCCATGCTGTGATGTTTTCCTTGTTCCTTATGTGCAGGTCAGTCTGCATATTTCCCACAGAATTCCCGCAGAGGACCTTTGACATGTACACAAAGTTATAAAAACATTAGGTTGAGCCCGGATACGAAATATGGAGAAATATTCCAAAACTTTACCCAGTAAAATCCTATTAAAAGAGTTACAAAGGGAAAGCTGATTACCTTGGTGAGAAGTTGTCTTGATTCAATTTCTTTATTATAAGTTTTAAAATGGTGTGTCCACAAATACCAGTGGAAAGTCCAATCAGTAACTTAAAATGAAAAAAATATATATATTTAAACACATTTTCTTTGCCTTCTTTGGTGGCCTAAGATGGCAACAGTAGAAAGACTCTGCTAGTTTTTTGTTTTGGGTCACGTTTGGTATGAAGAACAGCTCCATATCATCTAAATATGATGTCAACAGTATTCTTACTTCTCAAAATTTACTCATGAGGTAAGTGGACTTTAGTGTCAACAAAAACTACAGAGGCAGCAGGTATTAGTTGATGGTTATTACATGGCTTTTTGGTTCATAATATTAAAACAAGCATCTTCTGTATGTGACTATATTAATTAACTAATTCTGGCAGGGTAAGCCAATACCACAGTTATATGTAGGAATATACAAGGACATATAAAATATGTTACAGTTGGAAAGCACACAAGAGTTGT
Organism: Homo sapiens; assembly: GCF_000001405.40. Classification (NCBI taxonomy): domain Eukaryota; kingdom Metazoa; phylum Chordata; class Mammalia; order Primates; family Hominidae; genus Homo; species Homo sapiens. The sequence goes on from NC_000006.12 coordinate 93,887,275, forward strand.
TTAGAAATTTCAGTTCCTGGACTGGAAATAGTGTATTTGGATTACAACTGATTCTGTTAATATTCAGTTTCATCTCTTTAACAAGGGCAGTATTTATAGACTATGTTAGGAATCTATTTACCCATCTTTATGCTGAATACAAATGACATTTAAAAAAACAAACTTTATTTTTCAGAAAAGTTTTAGATGTACAAAAATGTGCAAAGGTGATACAGACTTCCTGTACACCCACAATGAGTTTCTCCTATACTTTATATGTTACCTTAGAACCATGCATTTGCCACAATTAAATAACCAATTGATATAATGTTATTAATTAAAGTCCATACTTTATTCAGATGCAGACATTGTTTTTAGTGAAGAGAAAGTAAAGGCCATATAAGGAGTGGAGAACGCTGTACAATTATGACCTGAGCTTTAATTAGCATTCAGCTACTAACATGCTTTGTGCTCATATTCACGTCCTGGCCTATAGTTCCCTGTCTATAAAATTTGTAAGTTTGAATGATATGAACTCCAATCTGTTCCCTAGTTCTAAATTTTCTAATTATTTTACTTATGACAAATCTGCACAATAGACATTTAGCAAAACACTATTTAAGTAAGTACAGTAAATAAAGTTTTGTTTTTCAAAAATAAGAGTATTAATAACAACCTCATGGCCGTGATTGCCTTGCGCCATTGTACTTCAGCCTGGGTAACAGGGAGACCCTGTCTCAAAAAAGAATAACAATAATAACCTCATGGAAGCTCTTTTGATCATTTTACCTTTAATCAACCTATCTCATTCAACAAATATTTATTGAATGTTTATTATATGTCAGGTACTTTCAAGTCATCATGGTTAACACTATTAATGAAATAGGTGCTCTCCAATTCAATTTGAGACTAGGGAAACCAGAGCTCTATACAAGGTCAGTAGCCAGACAAAGCTCATCACTTGAGGTTTAGAAAAATCTTAATATGATACAGAAGCCTTGGTTCATCTACAGACAACATTTAAGACATCTCAAAATCTGAACTTCAACTGTGGTGGACATTTGTTACACTTGTGCACGGTGTTTACTCCCTCAATAAAAAGAAAGCTGGGCAAACATTTTTACCCACATCGAGCTTACATTCTACTGGAATAATTCAGAATTACACCCAATAATTTTAAATAAGTTTGTATCTGTATCATATCATATATTTGGACTTTGGAGAATACAAATTAAGGAGAAAGATATCCCAATGAGTAAGAAGAAGATTATTTCCAGTTATAAATAATGCACATAAGCTAAAATATGAAGAAAAACTAAAAGCAAAAATAATTATTTGCCCCCCCCTTCACACAGATGAACAAAGAAGAAAAAAGCCCAGTGAGAAATATCTTTTATTTATTTGGCCAGTCTCAGTTTAGGCCAGCTGTTCAGTTGTATTTCTTAAGAGGAACTCTTTCCCTATTAATCTGTCTTGGTTTGGACCATAAGTTATATGTTTAACCCACACAAAATATAGCCAAAATATTGGAAGAAGTCAGATCTAAATGTCTTATTTTCCCATTGGGGGTCTTTGCTGTTTGTGTCAATAATTGTGTGCCCCTGGATAATTACAAGTAAGTGCCTGATCAGTTTCAAGTGATAGATAATTCATTCGCAATAGTAATATTTTTCTTAAGTAAAACCATTTGCAATTATATTAGAAAACATGCAATGTATAAGAAATATAAGGATGATGGCATAAATTAAATCATATTATTCACACAGCATTTAAATGTACATCATTTCAGTGTTTTGAAACTGTTTTTTTTTTCATACTATTTTCACACAGATGGACACTACAATTCATTTGCTGGTCCTGAGTGGGTCTGGACAAACATTAGAAAGAGCAAGACCGGAAAAGTACTATTGTAATCATTTTGATTTAAAAAAGAGGAATTGGAGTAAGCACTAGAAGTAGAAATGGAGAAATACGAATTCCAGGGCTATTAGGACACAGCAATAAATTTTGACAGGCCTATTTAATATAGAAGCCATAGGAAAGGGAGGAATCCAGAAAGACTCCCAAGTTTCAGGCTCAAGGTGACTATCTTTTGAATGGGAAAAAAATGATGAAGAATGCAAAATAAAAAGTTTGTTGATTTATTTATGCATCCAAGTTGAGCCAAATAATGATGTGTTTGTTTGTGCTTTAACATCATCTTTTCCTTTACATATTCTTAGAGTTCTTAGAATGCCAATCCTGTGGCTTGTGGTTGTTGATTGGCACAAATCATGCATAACAAAGTCAGATTTTATAGCAATTTATTAGTTTTAAAATTATTTTAAAATACGCTCTAACACTTTTATTTAGAAACTGGATATAGCTGGATTTTAAATCAAAACCTGTGAATAAAATTAACAAATCGTGTTTTAACTTAAACCAATTAAAAATAATATGTTACAAAGTGTTATTTTAGTTTTTCTAAAACCCAGTTCCCTGAAACTGCTTTTAATTACAGTGACATATGACCTTTACTTGAAAAAGCAAATTGTTGGAATTTTGGCATTACCACCTGTGATACAGCCTTTTTGGTTTTCCATATAGGATAATGTTACACTGGGCCCAAATCACTCAATGTAGAGCAATGTGTGGTGAGGTGAGGAGCTAGAACCATCACTGCTCAGCTTTGTAAGCTCATTGGCTTCCCCATGTTTTGACTTACAAAGGGGAGACCTAGTGAAAAGAAAGCTTGGTATGATAGCATACTCCCTGCATGGATTGAAAAAGTCGTTTATTTCAGTGCTACGTTTATGAGAAGATGGCCTTCTCTGATGCCTAGCCCACAGGTCTGGTGGTTTTTTTTTGTTGTTGTTGTTTTTATAACGAATTTTCCCTTTCATAAAGTTTGATGAAACATTTCCCAGATGAAAAATGAAATATAAACATCATGATGACTATCTTCCTTCCACCTTCTTGCAACACTCCCTATGGCTTTGAAAGCCTCCAGTAGGCATCTTGCAATGACTAATTTCCAGGTGGTTTGAAAATGCTGGAAGACTTGATGGGGAGAAACACCGGTCCTACAACATAGACTAGAGCAATCTATGCTCATGTTGCCTTTTTTTGGTCTCATTTGGTGTTTCGCTCACTTTAGCCTTTATCTCTTTTATTATTCTGTTTCTTTTCATTTCTATCCATTTACAAAGGTTTCCAAAATTTATCTTTCTTAAAATGTTCCTTACAGAATAGTTTGCTAAAAGTAAGAGAAAGAAGTAGTTTGTAGGGTGCCTTTCTGGGTTTTCTTATCAAAAATAACAAACATATATAGATAAATGTGCTTTTATTTTACTTCCCGTGAGAGAAATCTAATTGAATGATATGATTTCTGATCAAAATGTGAAATTTTTTCTTCCACCAATAATCACCTACAGTTGCCTCTCCTAGGAACTTAAACATTGGAAACATAAATTAAACTGTTCTGAAATTTTTTCCTTCCCTTAAGGCTCTGTGGAAAGTATAATTGTTTTGACAATCAAAGCCCAAGAATTCAAATTTTAATTAATTTCCTTGATATTTTAAAATTCCAAACGTAAATAGTGATTATGAGCTGGTAGCTGTCTATCAAATACTACCAGTTCTCTTTCTGCTCCATTAATATATTTTTCTGACAATATGTATATTTTTAGGTTAGCTACATTATAACATATTACATAGTTAAATAAGACTTGAGAACATCTTTTAATATCAGGAAGATCCTAATATTTATGCATAAATTCATTCAATAGTAAAATAATAGTTATTAATCAACCAATATGTAGAGTATATTGCACAAGGCCACTCTAGGGAATAAAATTATATAGATGACCTGGACCCTGATTCTAAGAAGCTTGCAATTTAATTAAGAAAAATTAAATTGTGAAATAATTATGAGCAAAAGCATATAATACATGTTATAGGTAATGTGGAAAGGCTGAACCTGGTAGCTCACATGTGGAATCCTGGCACTTTTGGAGGCTAAGTCGGGAGGATTGTCTGAGCCCAGGAGTTTGAGACCAGACTGAACAATATGGCAAGACCTGGTGTCTACAAAAATTTTTCAATGTAACCAAGCGAGGTGGTGCACGCCTGTAGTCTCAGCTACTCAGGGGGCTGAGGTAGGAGGATCGCTTGAGCCAAGAAGGTCAAGGTTGCAGTGAGCTGTGTTCATACCACTGCACTCCACTCTGGGTGACACAGCAAGACCCTGTATCAAAATAAATAAATTAACTAATTAAATTAATAAGTAAATAAAATGAATAAGGTGGAAGAAAGTCTATGAGGTTCAAGAAGTCAGGGAGTTGATTTATGGTTAGGAGATACTAGGTTTGTCAAAGGAAATAATGTCTGAGCTAGACATGAAAGAACGTGTGGGAACTCAACAGGTGGAGATTAATGAAAAAAGGGAATATTATGAGAAAAATCAAAGTGGTGGAAACATTGATCAGGCAACAAAATAACCACTGGCAGAAGAAACTTTCTATGTAGAGTAGTGGTGAATTCTAGTAAATGAATGACCTGAGTGCTAATGGACATTGAATTTCAAAATCACGTTTCGCTACATAATTCAGTAAGCAATGAGGAACAATTAAATGCTTCTGGATTTGAAAGTGTTTTTAATTTAGAAATAGGTGATCACATATTACAGGGAATAATACAAGTGAGTTCAAATGTCATCTTTCTTTTTAGAGATTCAAGAGATATTGTCTTGAGCAGATAAATTAAGAAAAGAGGAATAACTATAATATTTAGAATTATAGAGGTAACCACCAGAAGAACAACAACAAGAATAGAACTCGTAAAGTCAACTCAGAGAAATGAGACTGGAGGTAGTAAGAGGTGGAAATAGACTTGTGTCACCTCATAAATTCTCACCGGGAGGAGGGTGATGATGATGTGAATGACTCTCAAGTACATATCTCAAGCATAAACATCTCCACTGAGGTACAGTTACATATCCAATTGCCATATGAATATAAACTTGAATGTCTCTTAATATCATTAGAATATAAATTCCACGAGACTGGGGACTTTGGCTCACTAATTCACATGCAATAGTTGGCCCGTAATAGGTACCAAATAACCCTTTTCCTACTAAACATTTATCTAAAATTTAATGTCTTCATAAACAAACTTATTATTTTCCTCATATAAGTTGAGGTCCTTTGTTTTAAATTTTGGTCTCTCTAATCACTCACTGTAGCACACAGAAAGTGACTAATAATGTTAGAAGTAAATGTTTTCACAATTTAATAAAAGAGGAACAGGAAGTGTTAGGTAGTTTTCAACCAAAAAAATTATTTAAATTATTAACAGTTTTCTTTTTAAGATAATGCCCAATTATACATCAAATTTAATCCTTATTCCCCTCCCCTTTTATTGTCTTGGAGCTTATTGATTGGTCTTAATGGCTATAATTACTAGTTTTGTGATGTAGTAAACTAAATGAATAATGAAGAGGAAAAGAAAATGTAATGTATTTAACAATTGCTTTCTGACAGAATACTTTAATTCTGGTCACAGACTCAATATTTTCCTCTGGGGGAAACAAGCAAGGAAACAAACAACAGTTTCACAGTTTTCCATACTTAGAATTGACAGACTTCCTAGTTCTAAGTGTGGATATGTTGTGAAGGCACATTATTATTATTTTCTTTTACCCTGCCACTGGAGGAAATTCTAATAACCGTCTAGAACCGCTTAAACACAATAAGATGTTTATAAGAATTTTTAAGAGAAAGAGAGAGAAGGAGGGAGAAAGTATCCTTTATCCTATAGCAATTTAAGTTTGCCTGAGAACGAAGTCAACATGCAGAGAGGGAGAGACAAAAAATACAGAAAGACTGAATATAAATGATAATTTTTTTTTCCTGGTTCAAGCAAGAACTGAAACTCTGTGTTTTTGAGTTTCAAGAACTATTAAATTCTTGTTTTGTCTCAAGCTAATTGTTTGACTTGAGTTTTCTTCAACTCTCATCATTGCAAATATTCTCACGTTCATTTCTGTCTTAGTTGAGGGCTATTTATTATTTTCTATGTAGATATAAAAAATGAACAAAACAGATCTTAACCCTGTGAAGAGGTCTAGCCTGAGAGGCAGAAATATATACAGATAATTAAAACCTGATGCAGCCATGCAGAGAAAGAAATGTGGGCATTTTGGGCCCTGAGGTATTATAGGAAAGGCACCTGAACTCAGACTTCATGGAAATAAGGCATGACACTGGGATGACAGTGGAAAAAAGGACAACATTCCAGCAAAAGGGACAGCAGGGACAAAAGTATGAAAGGCATAAATGGCACAGTGTGTGCAGCTGTGTTGTTTCATGTGTAAAGTATTTCCTCCGTGAGGTTTCCTGAAATTACTTGGTCTGTTTTCATGCCACTCCTCTTATCTACTACAAACATCTACCACTCTGTAGAATAATTTTTTGCTTCATGGTCTACTTTCCCTATAGACATTAAGCTCTGTGAAGGCAGGAAAGTATGGGCTACACATTAGAAATATACATTGACACATGTGATTGAATTTCACTGGCCTGAATGTTAAAATTAATATGTTTCCCATTTATACGTCAAGATTTTTGAAGTTATTGAAGAATGACTGGTTAGGTAGTCAATAAATCCAGCACTGAGAAGATTCAAAATCAGTGAGGAGAAATTGGGCATATGGTGTTTGACTTATTCAGCTATCAAAATGCTAATATTCCTCAGAATTGTTTAAAAGACTCTGAAATTATTATAAAATCCTTTGTATAATTCTTTTTTATTTGATTTATTTTAAAAATGTTTTAAGGCAAAAGAAGATGATTACTTTGGAGTAAAACAGAAGGCCAGAATGCTTTCAGTTCTCAACACCGATATGGCTATAACTTATTAAAAAACAATTTACATGCTTCTTATGTGGTTTCAGAGAAAAGTAGCATATTCAAGAATATCATTTTCACCTTGCTTTCCACTTACTTCTTCCCTGAGAACTCACAGGAGATGTCAAAAATGTGACCTCCCCCAATCACTGAAAATTTTAATATTACATAATATGCTACTAGCATCTTTTAAGAAAATAAAGTATTGCATTGGTAACCCCTGCCATGTCTATGGCACATCTATAAGAATGGCTGACCTTTAGCAAAATATTGAAATAAGTGATAGCTTAAAAATCTTCTGATTCATCTTTTCAGATCTCTTCTATCTCCGTTATGGCCTGTGTTCCTATGCCTCCAAGGCTCTCTGCCCTTAATGTGGGCAGGACCCAAGATTTCCAGGTAGACCTAATTCTTTTCTTCCCTACCTACTAGAAATTATCTCTCCAACTAATAATGATCTTAAAACCCTAAAATTGCTGGTGCCAGGGGAAACAACTAAAGGTACCAAATTTAGTTGGGAAACAAATGATGTACTGTAGTCCCATCTTATCTGTGGTTTCAGTTTCTGTGGTTTCTTACTCATGGTCAACTCTGGCCCAAAAATATTCAATGGAAAATTTCAGAAATAAACCACTTCTAATTTTTAAATTGTGTGTGTGCCATTTCGAGTGGCCTGATGAAATCTAGCACCATTTCAGCTGGGATGCAAATCATCCCTTTGTCCAGTATAGACATGCCATGTAGGGTCCCTACACATTAGTCACTTTAGTAGCTGTCTTGGTTATCAGATCGACTGTCATGGTATCATTTTAGATCCCAAAGCACAAGAATAGTGATGCTGGCAATTTAGATTGCCAAAGGCAATCTGTAAGGTGCTCGCTTTAAATGAAAACGTGATTGTTTATCATAAGTATGTGTGTATAGAAAAAATTGTATATATAAGTTTTGGCACTATCTGTGGTTACAGGCATCTACTGGGGGTCTCGGGACACTTTCCAAACAGATAAGGGGGGACTACTGCATGTCAAATTCACAGCTAGCTAAATACATGGCACCTCCTAAATAACAATCCTTTAGCCCACTTAAAATATAAAATCTTCTCAATAAGTGCCTGAAAGTATGATATCAGTGGTGAAGAGTTTCAACATAAGGGCAAACCAGTAGAATAATATGAAGGACATATTTTTAAGCACATTTTTGAAATCACTTAAATCACATCAGTGACATAATTTATTCTGTTTCCACATGACACTAGGCCTTTCTAAAAGGTCAAAATTGAGAGTGGAAAACTGAATATGAAAAGTTTTAACTATGATTCATATATGAAAGTAAAGACTACATTTGGGAGATAAATTTCAACTTATCTCTCTGTGATTGATTTTTTGTAAGTTAATATTAATATTCTTAATATGTTGTTTGCTTGTATCAATTAGTACCGAAAAAACTAACATAATAATTAATGACTTGGTCCCTAATAAAATGTGTACTGGTATAGAGGGATGCTAAACTACGTATGACCAACGTTGAGTTGAGGAAAGAAGGGGGGTTGGGAGAAGTTGCTGCTCAGACCTTTGTCTATACACCTGAACCCACACCTTGATTCTCATAAAATAAAAATTAACAATAAGACCTGCAAGTCAATGTCAGGTTATATTTTTTTCTTAAGCTATGATTTGTTTCACCATCAATTTATATTATCCTTGCTGAAATTCTAACAAAAATTCTGAACACAATGAAGGTTGAAAGCAGCTGGTCAACAATTCATAAAAGCACCACTTTTGATTTGGAAGACAGTTATTAAATCACTACTCACACTACTTTACAATCCAACAACTGAAATAATGTTATTGCCTCTTTGAAATTCCATTTTCTAATCACTTAATCTTACTTCTGTCTTTTGGGTCCTCTATGAATTCTCCAGATTTCACTTGTCCAAAGTTTGATACACTGTTTTAACATTAAACTGATCAATGTAAAATGTAGTTGAAGTTTTATCTTATAATTTTTAATCAGAATGGCCTGCTGAAATAGTAGATTTCAGCATTATGTGTTCAAACTGCTAAAATAATGCTGCTGAGCTGAATTATGTTCAAATTGTGTCTGCTGTGATCTCTATGTTCTTTTCTGCCACATTCATGCCTAATTAGTCATTCTCTGTCTTATATGTATCATGTTTTTTCCTTAGAGTAGTTCCTGCTTTATACCTGACCTCAAGATTTTCATTATTTCTGACTACTCTTCCAACTTGTGAAGGTCGATTTGAATTATAATCTTCTCCTCTAAAGGGCTAGCCAACCCACACATTTATTTATCTAGGTCACTGATAAAATGTATAAAATGGTACTTAATCTAGAACTACAAAATACTCCTTATTACTTGTGAATAGTAGATATTAACAGTACAATGTTAATTAGGTGAAGAATGTCAAGGTTATAATTCTAATCTTACATCAATCCATTGGCTTTCCTATGCTTCATAATCACAGACAATACTTCTGACCTTTGCTCACAATTATAATGTTTGAAAATTAAATCAAATGTCAAAGAAAATCAAATATTACACTGTTATTTTAAAAATATATCCTGTTGTAAGAAGCCAATATACCTACCAGTATCAAGACACTGACTAAATATGAAGGCAACCAAATGTAGACAACCAAAGCAAGTAATGTAGGGGAATAATGGCCACTCCATCCTAAGGAGAAATGAAGAGTTAAAAGGAAGAAATGATGCAATAATATTCATTTTATCAGCCTTACGATTCCCATCATACATAGAAACTGATCTGTACCGCTTTGTTGAATTGTTGTCTGTATTCCTTTAAGAAAATGTTACAAAATTTTATGAACTAAGTGGTTTTGAAAACTATGGTAAGTGGCCTTTTTTTCTTCTTGCGATACTTCTGAATAAAATTGTACATGCATAGATTATGAATATGAAGTATAGCTAGAAATTTTTATATAAGGATTATTCATACATATTTTGAGTTGCTATTTTCCTTGATATGTAAGACTTCCTTGTAGAGGAATAAACTTGTCTTCCAGATCAACATATCTTGGATATTCTAATTACTAAATGACATCTACTTTTTGTTCTCTTTTTGCTGGGTCGGGTCCTGCTCATCTCCCTGGTCTTTTAAAATTGGAGGTGTTCATAACTTAGCCTATGGGTCTCTCCATTTTTCTATCAATCTTCCATTGCATGAGTATACAATCTTATGGATTTATGCAATAATACACATCTTCAGTTTTAATGTTTTCCTTTAACTCTTCCCTAACCACAACTTCTACTAATCATTATACCTCATTCCACCTAAAATGGCGTTTTGCTAATTCGTCAAATACCCAGGCGTACGTTAAGACATTTTTAATTGTTTGGTACTTATATCTTAGGACATTTGTACTTGTTTTTCTCTCAGTCTGGTACTCTGTTGTCCCAGATATGAATATACGTTTTTCTTCTCCTTTTTCAAAACTCACTCAAATGTGATATGAAGTTTGCAATCTTCTCTGAACACACAATTTGGAAGTCCCATCTGCTATCACAACTTTCTATCCCCGTTATCTGTCTGTTTTCCTTTTAATATTAATATATAAAATAACACATAGTTTTTTTCTTAACTCTTTTGGCTTCTCTTACTATAACAAACTGTAAATGCTTTTTCTGTTTTGTTTACTGTTGCACTGATAATGTTTAGAATGGCTCTGGACACATAATAGCATTGCAATAAATATTGGCTACAAAATAGGTATTAGGTTTATGTATTCATACAGGTAGATTACAAAATGGTTAAAAGGTATGCTCTTGAGTCCAACTGTCTGAGACTAAAAGTCCAATTTCACCACTTTCTAATTCTCTAACTGAATAAATCACTTAATTACATGACCTTGATTCCTTTGTCTTTAAACGGAATAATAATAGCGACTAACTATATTAGTTTCCAAATGTTGCTGGAACACAGTACCACATACTAGGCAACTTAAAATGACAAAGATGCATTCTTTCATAGTTCAGGAGGCTGAAAGTCTAAAATCAAGCTGTCAATAGGATTATGCTTTGTCTCAATGTTCTGAGTGAGAATCTGTTCCATGCTTTTGGGTTCCGGCAACTCTTCGTGTTCCTTGGCTTGTAGGTAAATCTAGCTAACATTTGCCTCCAAAGTCACATGGACTTTTCACCTGTGTCTCTCTGTGTCTCCAGCTTTCCCCTCAAGGTTTGTTCTCTCTGTACATTTTCCTCTAGAGTACAAATTCCATAAAGGCAGAGCATCTGCCTCTGTTCCTCACCATTGTACGCTCAGGGTCTAACTCACTTCCTGGTGCCCAATAGGTGCTCTAATTTGTTTAATAAATGATGGGCTATGTTGTCAATAGGATAGAAGCTGATACATTCTATATTTATAAATAAATATTGAGCAAAAATTTTGATTCTGATTTCTCTCTAAATTAGAAAAGCATAAGCCTGGAAACAGTGGTCTTTGTCTGAATATTATGTGGATATATTACCAATTGATCAACCCTGAAAACGATTTAAGGCGTTTCATAATCAATAATCCATTTAGTAACTGGTGTGAAAACATTTCTCAAATATTGATTTCAAGAGAATTATAATCACAAATGTAACATCCCCATTTGATCATATCTCCTCTACTAAGGGATTTTATATTCCTTCACTTAAAAATTCCTTTATAGTAGAAATAATTATGTCTCTAATCATTGGGCAATATTGCACATTTGAATTGCTAAAATCTTTTAAAATAATTTTCAAATAGAAAATACAGAATATGTCCTTGCAAAAGTATCATTCATTATATCATGCTGTGCCTTCTGTTATTTCATATCTAAAAGAGTACATATATGTAAAATACCTTCAGAGTCAAGGCCTCTGAGATTATTAGAACATGACTTCTACATATGAAGTAAAATGCTCATTCTAAAAATACTGTTTTGATAATTGATAATATTAGTACTATAAGTAAAATATTATATATGTATATGCAGTTAAGTGTGTCTATATATATTCTGCATCTATACAATAATATATAAAAATACTCAAGATTAAATAGGAGCCAGTCCATAAGTATAAGAAGGAAAGAAAAAAAATCTTTCTTTATTTGCCAATAACATGATAAAAAGGAATAGAAAAATAGAGAAATTGAACAAAATAAAGAGCTGAAAAATAGATCCTTGCATATATGAAAACTAACATATAACAGAGGTGGTAAAAACTCAGTGGAGAAAGAATGAACCCTTCAACAACTGTGCTAGGATAATTGGTCTTTCATATGAAAAAAAAGTTCAATACCACGCATTAAAATGGATTATATGTACAGAAAAAACTAAATGTTGAAAGCAAAACTTTAAAATATTAAAAACAAAATATGAAAACACAATTAGAAATAGGTTTGATTAATTTAGCTACATTAAAATACATCTTTTAAAACTTCTGTGTGGCAAGAGGAACCATGAATAAAGCTAAAAAAAATTGCCAAAGAGTGCATAGAAGAGTTTAAAATACATGTTTAAAGTAAAAGAAACAAACAAAAAACCTGTGTAAATGCATACATCATTAAAATCACTTATTCTTTAAAATTTATTTATTAAATACCTGTTTTATATCAGGCATTTTCATAGGCTCTTAGGATAAATAGACAAACAAAGGAAAAGAAGATCTCAACCTTTTGGGAGTTTATACTCTAACTAAGAGAGACTAAAGATATTAGATAAGTGATGTGCTATATTGCAGGGGGCAGGTGGTGGGTGGAAGGGCAACCAGAGCAGGGTAATGAAAATTGCGAGTATGAAGTTGGATGATAAATCGCAGTTTGGGGCCGAGTGGTCAGAGTAGACCTCATTGAGAATATTACATCCAGGCAAAGACTTATGAAAGTATGATATTGGCTTTCCATGTACTAAACTTTTCAGGTGGACAGAAGAACTGTTGCAGAAGCTCTACCGTTAGAACTTGTTGGTGCATTTGAAATATAGAAGCCAGTATGGCTGGAGTGGAAGGAGAAAGGAGGAGGTGATTAATAGTTGAGGATGTCAAAGAGGGTAAGATGGGACAGAGCTCAAACTATGTAGATCCTTGTAGGTCATGGTTAGGGATAGGACTTTTACATTCAGTGAATCAGGAGCCTTTGTAGGAATTTGCTCCAAATGAGGAGATCAAATGAGTTCTGTTTGGAAAGGAACACAACTTCAAATCAATAAAGGAATTGCAAACAACACAATCACACAGTGAGTAAAGGATATAAATGAATGATTCACCACACAGAAAACCAGAGTAATTTATAACCATATGAAATATGCTAAAACTCACTGACAATGAGTTATACAAAATAAAAACTTAAAAAATATTATTCATACTCTACTTCATCTTTCATAGTCATATGATTGACAAAAAATGGAATCTTGATACAATCATATGTTTATGGTAAGGGGCTCTCATGTACTGATTGTGGAGTATAAACTGGTACAATAATTTGGAAGACTAATGTGAGACCAAGTAGCAAAGAAGAAGCTATATATGCTGTTGATCAACTTTTGTATATCCTGATATATATAAGCTGGATGCTGTATGGATACTGAAATTATTTGAAATTTTTGTCAATGTAATAAACAAAGGAGACTATTATTACTTAATTTGTATGTCCTTAATAGTGAAGCTGAGCAATTTTCACAGGCTGGTCTTATATTATCTTTGCCTATTGTAAAAATCATTCTCTTTTTGTAAGCAAATTGTAGGTGCTTTTTATATGTTTAGTATATTGGTCTTTTTAATATATTATGAATATTATCTTAATTTCTTATTTGCATTTTAGCTTTGTTTTTTATCTTATAGAACTTATACATTTTTGTATATTTATATAAGACAAGACATTCTTTTTTTATTTGGGGTTTCATGACTTAAATTACTAAATTCTGCCTACTGTGAACATTTTGTCCAGACTTTTAAATATATGTTTGTTTGTGTGTGTGTATTTATATATATATACATATTTTAAATTTTGTTGCCTACATTTTAGTAGTCAGTCTTGATTTTTCTATTTCATATGTAGTTTCAAAATTGTATTTATTTTTAAATTAATACATAGGACATTTTCTAATCACTTTTATTAATGATCTGCTTTTTAACCACAAAATTCAAATGCCACCATTCTTATATATTAAGTCCCCAGCTATATTTGGATGTATCTTAATGCTGTACTTTTCAACAGGTTCATTTGTTCACTTTTATGTCAGTCCCATTCTGTTATAGTTAAAAAAGCTTTATGGATTATTTCTTCAACTTTTAAAATATAATTTATTTTTAATTGAAAATGATAATTGTATTTAAGGAGTAAAATGTGGTGTTTTGATATGTTTTTAATTAAGAATTAATTAAATCAAGCGAATTGGCATATATATCTTTTTAATTTGTTAAAAAAGCTAAGGTGATATATTTTCCTTCTGATGACTTCTTAGCAAAATTTCCAACATTTTGAAATAAGATAAATTTTTAAGACAACTTTTTAATCTCTTGATCCAAGAGTTACATTGATGACTATTTCTTTTTGCCTCTTGAGATTTCTAAGTAGATTAGTGTTAGTTTATGCTTTTGCTGTCAAAATGGCTGAGTTCATGGACACTTGAACAAATTGGCCTGTATTTAAATCCTCCCTCTTCCAATTAAAGCTGTGGGATCTTGAGCAAATAACTTCTCACGCATAGGTTTATTCATCTATAATATGGAGAATATGTTAGTACATACTCTAGGGTAAATGTGAGAATTAAATGACTTAATGTATGTGCTTTATTTAGAATACTACTGATGCATGGTATGTGCTTATAGTGATTGGTATTATTATTGTTACATAATTTTAAATAATAATGAATACATTGTATATAATTTATATACATAATTAATTGACTCCATGGGTCAAGATAGTATTTCTTATTCACTTAAGTTTCCTCTACTTCATCTTTCATGTTAAGTGCAAGATATTTAAATATCATCACTATACATCTCTAGGAGACTGTTTAGTTTTCTGCCATATTGTTGAGTACAAAGTAATTGTCAATAACATTGACTTTTGCCAGTTATACCATTTGTTATTATAAAATATTCCTTATTAACTCATATAATAGGTTTGGCTTGAAGTCCATTTAGTGAAGTTATATCATTGCTGCTCTTGATTTATTTTAAATTTATTTTGCCTGATACACGTCTCCATTATTTTTGTTTCTTTTCAGCCTTTTCTTATTATTTGTATTTGTGTCTCTTTTAAATAGGATGTAGCAGAATTTTTTGTGTTAGAAGCATTTGAATAATCCTTTATATTTTATTTTATTATTATTATTATTATCATTATTATTATTATTTTGAGATGGAGTCTCATTCTGCTGTCCAGGCTGGAGTGCCATGGCACGATCTCGGCTCACTGCAACCTCCACCTCCCAGGTTCAAGAGATTCTTCTGCCTCAGGCTCCTGAGTAGCTGGGACTACAGGTGCACGCCACCACCTCCGACTAATGTTTGTCTTTTTAGTAGAGACGGTGTTTCCTCATGTTGGCCTAGCTGCTCTCTAACTCCTGAACCTCAGGTGATCCAACCACCTTGGCCTCTCAAAGTGCTGGGATTACAGGCATGAGCTCCACTGTGCCCTGCCTTGTTTATATTTTAATAGACTTTTTAAAGCAAATATTATTTTACCTATAGATTAAAATTAAATATTTACTAAGCCCCACCTCATGATTATAGGGCCCTTTCACTTTCTTACTTTCCTTTTCTATCCTAGCTAACTCCTAATTTGTTAACTCAGAACTGAAATTTAGTTTCAGACCATTAGGTTTTTTCTTACAGACCCTTCGATTTTATGAATGAATGAACAATTATATTTCAGTTTCTAGTGATATTATTACCATCACCATTTAGTTAACTACATAAATTATTAGATTTGTCACTTACAATCTTTTGTGCTCTTTGTTTCCTATCTTAAGATATGTTTTCTCTTAAATTTTCATTTGGTTGTAGTGTAGTAGTTTCTCTTCCTAACTGATGTAACTGCTTAGTAACTTCTGCTAAATGTGGGATTTTTATAAAGCAATATTTTTAAAATACTTATAAGATTAGGTGGCAAAACATGCAACATGCCAGTTTGTCATTAATATTATGAAGTATTCCAGAATTTTGTATCTTCCGGTGTTGCCGACTAGAAATTGAATGCCACTCTCTTTCCCTTTTATACATAATGTGTCTACATATCTGGAAACATTAAGATTCTGTTTACCCTCATGTCATGGACTGAATGTTTGTGTTCCTCTAAACTTCATATGTTGAACACCTAATCCCCCATGCCCCGTGTGGCAGTATTTGGACACGGGACGCATAAAGAAACAATTAAGGTTAAATGAGTTTATATAGGCGGATCCATGATCCAATAGGTTAAGTGTCCTTATAAGAAGAGACATCAGAGAGCTCTCTCCACCATGTTCTGCCACACACACATGCACAAAAAAGCCATGTGAGCAAACTGCAAGATGGCAACCACCTATAAGCTAAAATAAGAGGTCTCAGAATGAAAACTCCCTTGCTAATATCTTGATCTTGGATATAGTAACCTCAAAAACTGTGAGAAAAAGATCTGTATCATTTATACCACTCAATCTGTGGTATTTTGTTAGGACAGCCTGAGCAAACTAATACACCTGGATATTAAGAAGATTTCATGGGATATATCTCAATATGTGTCTTAACTCTTAGTGAAAAATCTTGAAATGACTAGTCAAACCATTCTATTTGACTGTATTACTTTTCCTCCATCATTCTTTTTCAATTTGTAACTGTCATTATTCAAAAAATCAGGTACTCTGGATCTGTTCTCCATCTCCGTGATTTTTTTGTTCCTGGCATTTTTCTTTTCTTT
This sequence comes from Homo sapiens, assembly GCF_000001405.40. Classification (NCBI taxonomy): domain Eukaryota; kingdom Metazoa; phylum Chordata; class Mammalia; order Primates; family Hominidae; genus Homo; species Homo sapiens. The sequence goes on from NC_000006.12 coordinate 93,904,044, forward strand.
CTTTTGTATTTTTACTCTGTACTGTGAGATAACTGTTCTATTTACCACTTTATATTGCTAAAAATATTTGATGCTGCAACTCAACTTGACATTGCTCCCATTATGTAAAAAAAAAAAAGCTATTTAATCTACTGAGTTTCCTTAAATTGTCTAAAAACAATATTTTTATACTTATGAGAGTCAATCTGAGTTCTTTCAAGATTCATTCACATTATACCACTGGGATTTATGAGCCACTGGGAGGTTGGAATATGATTTGAATTTAAGAAGGAACTTATTCCTCTCTCAAACAGAGATAATGTTTTAGAGGTACATTAGTCCATTCTCATATTGCTATAAAGAATTTTCTGAGACTGGGTAATTTATAAAGCCAAGAGATGTAATCGACTCACAGTTCCATTTGGATGGGGAAGCCTCAGGAAACTGACAATCATGGAAGAAGGGGAAGGAATCATATATTTCTTTACATGATGGCAGGAAGGAGAAGTGCTGAGCAAAAGGGGGAAAATCTCCTTATAAAACCACCATATCTCCAGAGAACTCAGTCACTATCACAAGAACAGCATGAGGGCAATTGCCTCCATGATTCAATTACCTTCCACCAGGTTCTTCTCATGACATATGGGGATAACGGGAACTACAATTCAAGATGAGATTTGCATGGGGACACAATCAAGCCATGATATTTCACCCCTTCCCCCTCCAAAATCTCATGTACTTACATTTCAAAACACAACCATGCCTTCCCAGTAGTAGCTTTACAGGATACTACATCCCTCCTGGCTGTTTTCACAGGCTGACATTTAGTGTCTGTGGCTTTTCCAGATGCATGGTGCAAGCTTTCATTGGTTCTACCATTCTGGGGTCTGGTGGGTCTAGTGGCCCTCTTCTCACAGCTCCACTTGGCAGTGACCCAGTGGGAGCTCAATGTGGGTTCTCCAACCCCACATTTCCTCTCCACACAGCCCTAGCAGAGGCTATACATTAGAGTTCTGCCTCTGCAGCAAACTTCTGCCTGGACTTCAGGCATTTCCATATATCCTCTGAAATCTAGGCAGAGCTTCCCAAACTTCAATTCTTGATATTGGTGCACCTGCAGGCTCAACACCATGTGGAAACTGCCAAGGTTTGGGGCTTGCACCCTGCAAAGCCATGGCTTGGTCTATATCTTGGTCACTTTTAGCCATGGCTGGGACATAGGGCACCAAGTCCTGAGACTGCACAAAGCAGCAAGGCCCATAGGCCAAGCCCACAAAACCATTTTTCCCTCCGAGACCTCCAGGCCTGTGATGGGAGGGGCTGCTCTGAAGACCTCTGACATGACCTGGAGATATTTTCCACATTGTCTTGGCAATTAACATTTGACTTCTCCTTACTTATGCAAATTTTTGCAGCCGGCTTGAATTTCTCCTCAGAAAATGAGATTTTCTTTTCTATCACATCATCAGGCTGCAAATTTTCTGAAATTGTATGCTCTTATTTCCTTTTAAACTTAAGTTTCAATTCCAAAGTATATATTTGTGAATATATAATGCTAAATGCTTTTAATAACACCTAAATCACCTCTTGAATGCTTTGTTACTTAGAAGTTTCTTCTGCCAGATACTTTAAATAATCTCTCTCATGTTCAAAGTTCCACAGATCTTAGAGCAGGGGCAACATGCCTCCAGTCTCTTTGCTAAAGCATAGCAAGAATCACCTTTATTCCAGTTCCCAACAAGTTCCTCATCTCCATCTGAGACCATCTCAGCGTAGACTTCATTGTCCATATCACTAGCAGCATTTTGATCAAAGCCATTCAACCAAGTCTCTAGAAAGTTCTGAACTTTCCCACATCTTCCTTTTTTTTTTTCACCCTCCAAACAATTCCAACCTCTGTCTCTTACCCAGTTCCAAAGTCACTTCCACATTTGTGGGTACGTTTATAGCAGCACCTCACTCTTTGCAGTACCAATTTACTGTATTAGTCCATTCTCATGCTGCTATAAGGAACTGCCTGATACTGGATAATTTATAAAGGAAAAAGGTTTAATGACTCACAGTTCTGCATGGATGGGGAGGCCTCAGGAAACTTACATTCATGGTAGAATGGGAAACAAACATGTCATTCTTCACATGATGGAAGGAAGGAGAAGTGCCAAGCAAAAGGGGTAAAAGCTCATAATAAAACCAACAGATGGCCTGAGAACTCACTCACTATCATGGGAACAGCATGAGGGTAACTGTCCCCACGATTCAATTACTCTCCACTGGGTCCCTTCCATGAAATGTGGGAATTATAGGAACTACAGTTCAAGATGAGATTTGGGTGGGGATACAGCAAAATCATATCAAGAGGCTCTCACATTTCGATATGGATCACGTGGGTATAATGGGGATATAGATCAGGGAAGCCAAGGGTTTCTTGATATATCGCAGTGGAGCAGGTCATCACAGCAGAACACTGTCTCTTGAGGGCAGTACAATGAGTGGTAATGACAATGTTCTCTAAAGATTACATGAAGGGTTTTGGCAAGTATAGTTCTTCTTCTCGATGTACTGATGGAGACCTATTTGACTCAGCCATAAAGACCCCTAAGACAGTTGGAGAAGTGGAAGTGTTTCCACTAAGTGTGTCATAGCCTTCTAGATCTATTCTCCTTTCTATCCCCATAACCACCTGCATTTTAAAAATTAGTAACAAGCTGTAGTAAGAAGTCTCGGAGATGTTGGAACTTCAAATGTAGGGTGTGTATATTTTACTAGTTTAGTTGTCACTTCAAAGAATTGAAAGAATTAGTCCTTTAAAAGACATGTTAGTTGGTATTTTTGGACAGCAGAATAGAGGGATCACACAATGTCCAAGTAAGTTTTAGGGTCCGTAGTATGAGATAATCTCTTAGGCAAGAGGAAAATATAGAACAATATGAAAGGATAAAATAACAACAAGTTTACCGCTTGTACAGTGGCAACTGGAGAAATGTGCAAGAGGGTTTCAAAAAGTTCATAGAAAAATGGAATTAAATGATAAAAATAAAAACTGTAAACTTTATTTCTCATACTGAGCTCCATTAAGTTCAAGACACTTTTGAAAGCAATGACATGAGTCATTTAGTCCATTTCTAAAGAAATGAAGGTCCTGGGAATTAGCCATGTGAATGCAGTCTTTTTACATTATTAATTAAAGAAAATGGGTGCCATTTATAGTTTTTTTTTTTAAGAATAGTGATATGGTTTGGCTGTGTCCCCACCCACATCTCATCTTGAATTGTACCTCTCATAATTCCCACGTGTTGTGGGTGGGACCTGGTGGGAGATAATTAAATCTTGGGGGTAGTTTTCCCAAACTGTTCTCATGGTAGTGAATAAGTCTCACAAGTTCTGATGGTTTTATAAGCAGTCCCCCCTTTCACTTGGGCCTCATTCTCTCTTTTCCTGCTGCCAAGTAAGATGTGCCTTTGTTCTTCCCTCACCTTCTGCTATAATTGTGAGGCTTCCCCAGCCATGTGGAACTGTGAGTCCATTAAATCTCTTTTTCTTTGTGAATTATCTTTATATTGGTATGTCTTTATCAGCAGTGTGAAAACAGACTAATAAAATTAGAAAGTGAAAATAAATCCAAATAAGATAATCAAGACTGTAAGGTGGATGCCTAATGATTTCATATCAAAATTCTCACAAATTGCCCATGTTTGATGAGAGAAGTGAGCAAGCAGGAGCATTCTCTTGGTGAGGAAATACTGGTGAAGATTTCCTAGGCATTTTTCTGCTAAAACTTTGACTAACTTTCTGAAAACACTCTCGTAATAAAAAGATGTTATTGTTCTTTGGCCCTCCACAAAGTCAACAGAAGAAATACCTTGAGCATCCCCCCAAAACTACTGCCATGGCCTTTGATCTTAACTGGTTCACATTTGCTTTGACTAGACCACTTTTGCTTCTTGGTAGCCATTGCTTTGATTGTGCTTTGTCTTCAGGATCATATTGGTAAAGCCATGTTTAACCTACTATAATAATTCTTTAAAGAAATGCTTTATGATGGAATAATTTACATTCCTTTGGGTATATACCCAGTAATGGAATTGCTGGATCACATGATATTTCTGGTTCTAGATCCTTGAGGAATTGCTACACTGTCTTCCACAATGGTTGAACTAATTTATATTCCCGACTGTGTAAAAGTGATCCTATTTCAGCCAGGCACAGTGGCTCACACCTATAATCCCAGCACTTTGGGAGGCCGAGGCGGGTGGATCTTGAGGTCAGGAGATCGAGACCATCTTGGCTAACACAGTGAAACCCCGTCCCTACTAAAAATACAAAAAATTAGCCGGGCATGGTGGCGGGCACCTGTAGTCCCAGCTACTTGGGAGGCTGAAGCAGGAGAATGGTGTGAACCCGGGAGGTGCAGCTTGCAGTGAGCCGAGATCACGCCACTGCAGTACAGCCTGGGTGACAGAGCGAGACTCTGTCTCAAAAAACAAAACAAACAAACAAACAAAAAAAGTGATCCTATTTCTCCACAGCCTTGCCAGCATCTATTTTCTCTTGACTTTTTAATAATCACCATTCTAACTGGTATGAGATACTATCGCATTGTGATTTTGATTTGCATTTCTCTAATGATCAGTGATGTTGAGCTTTTTTTCATGTTTGTTGGCCACATAAATCTCTTCTTTTGAGAAGTGTCTTTTTATGTCCTTTGCCTACTTTTTGATGGGGTTGCTTGTTTTTTTCTTGTAAATTTCTTTAACTTCATTGTAAATTCTGGATATTAGACCTTTGTCAGATGGGTAGATTGCAAAAATTTTCTCGTATTCTACAGGTTGCCTGTTTGCTCTGAGGATACTTTCTTTTGTTGTGTAGAAGCTCTTTAGTTTAATTAGATCCCACTTGTCAATTTTCACTTTTGTCGCAATTGCTTTTGGTGATTCATCATAAAATATTTGCCTATTCTGTTATAATGACACATTCATGAGTATGTTTATTCCAGAACTATTCACAATAGTAAAGACATGGAATCAACACAAAGGTCCACCAACAATAGACTGCATAAAGAAAATGTGGTACACATACACCATGCAATACTATGCAGCCATTAAAAGAAATGAGACCATGTCCTTTGTGGGGACATGGATGGACCTGGAAGCCATTTTCCTCAGCGAACTAACACAGGTACAGAAAACTAAACACCCCATGTTCTCATTCATAAGTGGGAGCCGAACAATGAGAGCACATGGACACAGGGATAGGAACAACACCCACCAAGGCCTTTCAGGGGAGTAGGGGGAGGGAGATAATCAGGATAAAAATGTATGTGGGGTTTAAAACCTGGGTGATGGGTTGTTAGGTGCAGCAAACCACCATGGCACACGTTTACTTATGTTACAAATCTGCACATTCTGCACATGTATCCTGAAAATTAAAATAAAGAAAATAAATGTTTCAGGACCTTGATCTCACTAGAAAATTTCCATTGAAAGCTCTACTCTTGTCTGGAGCTGATCTGGGCACAACAGTTTTGGTACCCATTGAGTAGAAAGTTTGCTCAAGCATAATTTTTTAGTAAAAATTGTGTAAGCTGAACCACTTGAGATGTCTATGGTATTGGCTATTGTTTATTCTGTTGTCAGTCATTTTCAATTAGGTCACAAAAAAGATTAAACTTTTCCTAGTGAATTGATGTGGATGGTCTGCTTCTGTGGGCTTCATCTTTAACACCATCTTGTCTCTTCTTAAAATGAATCATCTATTTGTAAACTGTTGACTTATTTGGGGCATTGTCATGAAACATCAATGATTTCACCATTCTTCTACTCAATTTTCACAATAAGTTTAATAATTTGTTCTTTATCTTAGCAGAATTCATGTTGCTCTTATGGGGGCTCTTCTCAAATTGTCTTATTCTTAGTGCCTCAAGCTGGATCCTTTACAGACATGTTATAACAAGTTTGTATGAGTTTATTTTGGTGCAAAAAATTGAAATCCATTCATAGTTTTTTCATAATGCACACATTCCCTAAACTTTTAAAAGCCATCTTGTATAGGATTGACCATATTTGTGCACATTTGCATGTATGTTTGTGATTATGAGTGAGAGTAGTTAGATTTGAAGAAGAAATCACATATTTCTAGTATTTTGTCTTACTTTTAGGCACTATCAACTTGCTTTTTATTATAAACATGTTCATATAACTAGTAAGTGCATTAGAAATAAATAAAATAAGAGTTCAAATATTTAAACTATGTAGTATGTTGTAGGGGGCCAAGGGAAAATTCTCCTTTGCCTTCTATGTGTTTGCTGAAAAGTCAACTTGGAAAAGGTAGGTTAATTGCAGAAAAGGCATACACATTGTATTAACATGTACAGGGGAAGAACCGCAGAGTGATGACATGCTTCCCAAGGGGGTTCAGAAGCTAATATACCATCCTGGGAAGACAGGTTATGTCAGGGAATAGAAGATGAATTCTGCTGAGGAACAATAAGTGATTACTAGGGAGAATGAATGGCCCAGAAAACAGAGATTAACTTCTAAATAGTTTTCTTTGGAATTTGAATGAGTGGGAGACACAGAGGTTATCTTGTGAAACGGTTTGTTAAGGTGTGTTTGCATTCTTGGTCTTACAGAGAGGAGAAAAAACAATGTTCTCTTTGGTGGTTTTGGATCTTAGGCAGATAAAAAAATTCAATTTCATCCTGCTCTTTCAGAGGGATGGAGGATGTTAGGTGTGTAGAGAAGGTTTGAGAGACCTTGAAGCTTCTTCAGTTCAGCCTGTCAAAGTGCCATATTTTGGAGTGTCTGTTTCTGATCCCCCGACAATGTCAATAAAACACAGCCTATATGTTTTACATATACAATTCTAAGTATAATCTATTGCATTATTTAATCACATCTCTCTTTACTATGACTCATATCTTCTGGGACGTAGCAGTGTTTTAAGCTTTACCTATTGTACGGTTCCATGTGGTCTTGGACTTGTTTTGCACAGTAACTTACCTGGAGAATGCTGCATCTCTCTCTCTTTGTCTCAGGACAATTTGTGGGACCTGCTATGTATTCACATGTGTTTTGGAATTGCAGAGGTACATCTCTGAAGGCAATGCTCAATTAGCATGAGATGTGACTCTGTGGGTAAATGTTTTTCTCTTTCATCCTTCAGGTGAACAATTTTAAGGTGCATTCCTATATAGCTCTTTAGAAGGTCCTAGCAGGACTGATTCATAGTTTTCCACAGTAGAGAAGACAACTCAGTACCACACTTGGCCATTATCACTCCTTCTTTCTCTGTTTTATTCTCTTCAATCTTCACAGTTGTTAACTGAGCTCACAACCCCAAATAAATTCTTTCTCAAGTTGAGAACTTGTTTTATGCTTTGTTTTCTGGGGACTGTGGATTTCAGGCTAGAAAAATTCATTCTCATTATGAAAATATTATGTCCAAATAGAAAATGTATTAAAGAATACTGAAATGTGAAAGAAAAAAATAAAGTCCCCATTATCTGGTAGGCAGTGATAATAATTGTTCGTTATTACCTGGTTTCAAAAATGTAATTTGGTAATTTATTATTAATATTTTCCCAGTTTGGATTTTATAAGTAAAATTTTATTAATGTCTAGATTTAAAAAGTATTATACATATTCTAACAATATATTTTTAGATATACAGTATTTGGGTCAAGGTCATATTATATAAAATTCTTATACCTATTATAAAATTGTTTACTTGTATCAGATTACTACCACTTGACATTTATAAAAGAACTAATTTAAGGCTTCACTTGCCAACACTATTATATTTTATTCTTTTAACAATTTATGGATCATAAAATAATATTTCATTGATGTAATTTGAATATCTGTACAAACTAAACTATTTTTGAATATGCTTTGTGGACATTTCAATTTTTCTTTTCCAATTTATTTTATTCAATTTGTCTTCTATTATTACAACAAAAATAGTCTTAACTGAAATAATTGGTGCATCTAATTTTATTTTTAATTTGATTTTATGCTTACTGACTTGATTTTTAAATGTCTGGTCTTATGCCAAATTAAACTAGGATCTCTCTACCCTTTTTCCCTCCATTAAAAAGATGCAAATCCCTTCCTACAAAACTTCTGGCTATTTTTGTGCTCTCTACAGTCATACTTCATTTTCCTTTAATATTCAATTTCACAAAAGAAACAGAACCTATAGACTGGCAATAAAGGGTGAAGACTAGAGTACACTTTCAATTCTCCCCATATCCTTTCTATTTAGAGGTTTCATAACATGGAACTGTTCCCTCTAAATTTTGCAATGCATTTTTTGATTCTAATCTTACCTCATTCCAATTGGCTTTTCAGATATTTCTAGTACTACTGTCATCATTCTATATTAGGATCTCCAGTCTACCACTTTTTATGAGTCCTCTCACTAGCTTTTTTCTTTCCTGTCACAATCTTCCTCCACAGCTTAAAATCCTAGATCAATTATTGTAACTTTCTTACAACACATAAACTTTATTTACCCTCTACTTTTGTTGCCTCAGTAGTCAAAAGTGTAACCCTGAATGAATGCAATTAGTGTTAGATTTTATTTTTGCCTATATCAAGGGGAGTCAAACACTACTGGAATAAGTCACACAAAAGAAAAGTATACCCAAAGAAGTATCAATTATAACCTAAAAAACAACATCAATTACCAATATCACTTCCCCCCTTGCAATCTTAGTATGAGCCTTTGCATAATTCATATATTTTCCATCAGTCAGAACCATTTCGATTCATGTCCATCTGAGTCCTCACTGAGTTTACTCTCACATTGCCTTATACTTTACAATAAAAATATAAGTAATTATATTTATTATCATGAGATATGTCCCCATTCTGTTCTTGCTAAAATAGAGGAAATCTTTCCTCTTCTACTGAGAATTAACCCTTTCTTTGGGCCCTTTAACCACTTCTCAAATAGGTCCTTTATAAAAACTTTTAAATTGGCTTAAACCTTTTCATTAAAAAAATAATAACCTAGAGCATCAGGGGAATGATTCCCCAACTACCCCCAATCTATTTACCCAGCCTCTTTAGCTCTCCGTCAATCTGTCTTTATTTCTATACTCTTCATTGGGACCCCGTTTGTCTCAAATCAAATAACTTTAAGGTTATCAGTGGCTTCTACAGTGCTAAATACATGGGATATACTTAAATCTATATAGTGAAATCTCTGGTCATATCTAGCTCTTTTAGCCACTTCCTCTGGCATAAGAATCTCTAATTACTACAAATAATTTTTGCTGTGAGATTTAGCTGGAATTGACGGTACTCTTGAAATCCCAAGCAGGACTACCAAATCGTAATACTTCATCCATGTTACTAAATAGCTAGGAAAGAACAAGCACATGATCAAGCAAAGTCAATCACAGAAACTATCATTCCCTTGCTGCTCTGTGAGCTTGTTTCCCATATTATTCCTTTGAAAAAAGGATAAGAAACAACAGCACCAAGAGTGGTTAAAAGAATTTGCTCCTGAGCTTGACTGTTCACCAGTTTGTGTCCCTTCTTTCATAGAAGGGATTAAATATACGAATTTTATATTGTTTACAATAATACAGCTAGATCCTTACCGGGAGCAGAAGAGAGGAAGAACGTAATTTTAATTACCTGGGACAGCAGACTCTGGTGACAGTGTACATGCTCACATTGGTTTGTGTCTCTAACAGAGCTCAATTCTGGCTCTGAAAGTAGACAGGAGCCTGATCTTCATCTTCCACTGTCATTTTTTTGACATATTGTTTTCTAAACTTTGTGTCAGCCACAAGCTGATTAATTCACATTTGTGTATTTGCTCCAAAAGTAAAGTTTATCTTTGGTTCTGGTAACATGGAATTCTTTATTCCTGTTTTCATTGAGACTCTTACACTTTTTTTATATCTTTGTGTCTATTTGAATAAGAGCAGATCCTATGCTGTTAACTCTCTGCCATTTCAAGCTATATTTCTCTAGGGCATGTAACTCTCTGTCATTAGTATTAGTAATTGTAATTATTATTAGTAGTATCCTTAATTTATCCCCAAATATGAGCCAAGCATGGTGCTAAGCACGTTATATGGATTCCATATTTTTATCCTCCTACGAAAACTTCAAAATTACACTTTTATCCATTTTACTAGTGAATAAACAGCTTTAGCGAGGTTACATGAATGACAATCTTCACAAAACTGATTACAAATGAACAGGGATTTGAGTCAGGTTCTTTGCTCCAAAGTTGATATAATTTCCATTCTGTGATACTGACTATCTTTTAAGGATTTTCATACATATGTCCTTGTGTATGTATGCCACACTGTCTTTTAGCACTTAATTTTTTTTTTGGTGAATTGACTATTATACTTTTTCATAAATATCAGCATGCATAGAAAACAAATTAAAAAATTTAAATTCATAATGTAAATGAGTAATAATTTAACTATTTTTTCCTAACAATTTTTAAATTATAATTTATTTAAATTTTATTTATCTTAATTTTTTCATTATATTTACTTACTATTTTCAGCTACAGAAAAACAGAAAAAAGTTACCCTTTTATTTTAAGTAATTTATTGTAATAAATTCTTATAGATCAGTATTTTTCTTCTCATAGCTAACCATTTTTTAAATCATTCATATTTTTCTAGGCATTTGTTTCATTTATTTCTTGAAGCAAGATTTGCAATATAGTACATGCTACATGCCAGGAAAAACAAATAGAACCTAGGCACATTTCCAGTGGAAGAGATTCATGTTGCATTGGTTGTGATTGAATAGGATATTTAATTACAAAGTGAGAAGTGACCTTTGGAAACAGCAGTTAAAGTTAATTTGATATGGTTAATAAGCCAAACAGAGGAGGGTGAATTGAGTATAAAGGACTCCTTTTCTAGTGATTAAACACACAGGCATTGTTAAGAGTGACATTTATTCATTCCTAGAACTGAAGTTACTTACATGTGATAATTAGCCAAAATCTTTAAAACTAAGTGATATATTAAATGTCCCTTTTTATTTATATAAAAGGTTTGTTTAATTAATTTTTCACATAAATAAAAATACAAAAAGAAGTAATTGCTTTGCACATGATGTACTTACGTTAGGATGGACCAGAGAGATTCTGTTTACAGAATCCAGAATTCAAATATTAGCTGTATTCCTTCCATTAATTTGATCTGGGAATAATTGGAGATTTAGTTGATAAAGTCGTTGGGATTCATAGTTTAAAATGATGCCTCTTTATTAGATTTCTATGGGGACCCAGAAGACACTATCCCAAATTATGGTGCTTTGACAACTATAGAAGCAACTTTGAGGTCTCTCTGACCACCCCTCTCTGTCACCTCTCCTATCTCTCAACCTTCCATCTCTCCCAAAGTTCAGGATGATGCTTTTCTCTGTTATTCCCTTATCTGCATGAAGACTGGACCCACCAAAGAAAACTTGATTGCTGCCAATCCCCTTCCCGAAATCTCATTATCTAGCCCAGAAAAGGTAAACTGAGGAATGCAACCACACCTGGACAGAGTTTTTCACAAGATAATGTTTACCTATTGCAAATTCCAAAGAGAATCATTTATAAGCTAATTTCTATCTCCCAGTTCCATTAATTCTCCCTAATAATCAGTTTACTATCTCTTGAAAGAATTGTCTACTTTCCCCCTCTCCCCATTTCCCCTGTGAAGAAGGGTATATTAGCATCTGTACCTCACTGGGTTATTGAGTAATCATTTTTCTGTGATTGCCCAGTGCTAGGTATATTAAATAAATCGCCTATTTTTCTGTCTACTGTTGTCACCACACCACAGGTTCATTTTGCCTGCTGCCCAGATAGAGCTGATTTTTCAAGACAGGGGAATTGCAATAGAGAAAGATTTAATACATGTAAAGACTGCTAAACAGGAGACTGGAGTTTTATTGTTACTTAAATCAACTTCCCCAAAAATCCAGAGGCTAGGATTTTGTAATGATAGTTTGGTGGGCAGGGGGCTAGGGAATGGAAAATGCTGATTGTTTGGTTTGGAGATGAAATTATAGGAAGTCAAAGCTGTCCTTTTGCACTGAATCAGTTCCTGGGTGTGGACCATAAAACCAGATAAGCCAGTTTACCAGTCCAGGTGGTGCCAACTGATCCATCAGAATGTAGGGTCTAAGAAACACCTCAGACACCAACCTTTGGTTTACAATAGTGATGTTATTCATAGCAGCAACTGAGGATGTTAAGAATCTTGTGGCCTCTGGCTTCATGACTCCTGAGCTGTAATTTCTAATCTTTCAGCTAATTTGTTGGTTTGACAAAGGCAAACTGGTTTTCAAGCAAGGACAGAGTTTGTTTCAAAGTTGAACTATAAACTAAATTCCTGTCAAAGTTAGTTCAGCCTATGCCCAGGAATGAACTAGGGAAGCTTGGAAGTTAGAAGCAAGATGGAATTGGTTAGGTCAGATCTCTTTCACTGTCATAATTTTCTTACTGTTATACTCTTCGCAAAAGTGGTTTCACTGTCAGTTCATTTTCAGCAAATCTTCAGAGGTCTGAGAAGAAACTTTCCCTTGGTTTCTACAAATTCCATCCTCTTTGGTGTGTATCAAATTTGATAAGGCTGTTTGTTTACTTGCATATTTTAGACTAATGGATTTCAAAAGATTTTAGACAGGAAAATTACTGACTAAAAATAGAAGAAAATCAAGTATCTCCAGGAAAGGGATCATTCTCCCCCAGATATGTAGAAGTCAGTTACAGTAGCCCTAATAAGCTTTAGAAGATCAAAAAATAAAAAATAAAATAAAATCTGGTGACAGTAATTTTAGGCAATCATTAAAAGAAACTGAAGATGTGGGTGGAGCTGAGAACAGTGAGTCATATCATCTTTCCTGTTTTATCATTTAGTCTTTTTGTGCATAGAACCAGAAGGCACTTGCATTTGCTAAGAGAACGTTTTGTTGCTTTCTTGTACTATGCAAAATGCAGATACTGACTACACAATATTTTAGTAAAATAAAAGACTGAGGCATTGTTTACAAATTCATGGTCAATGTTAATTCAGGTAAACTGCTTTTTAAAAATCAAAAACCACAGAACAAACTTTAAGTCAAAGGGAATGAAGTTAGATATCAGTTCTTGAAAATTGAGATAAAACTTGAAGTTCCTATATCGATTTGGCTATTATGTTTGTTAGATTGCATATATCAAGTTTAGTGATACAATTCAAGATAAGTGAATTCTGGATAAAATTGAATTTGAACTGGGTAGGTACAGTTATTCCTGAACTTTGGCTGCCAGGAAGATGTTTAATGATGTTATACCGGAAGTGCCAAGTCACTTCCCATTAGAAGATCAGCTTTACTTGGAAGTGTGATGATGAATTGCTTTTCCCAACAGAGGGATCAGACAATAGACTCATGTCTGTCAATGTCACATAAGAGATAGTATGGATTACAACACAGAACAAAGATTCCCCAGGAGTCTCCAGTTGGAGGAAAAGAGATGCTATTAAAAAAAAAAAAAAAAAAAAGAACAACAACAAAAAAACCCAGAAAGCTCTTCACAAAGCACAAAGGAAGAGGCACTCTTATAGAATTAAGCTATTAAAAGTTTCACTTTAACTCTTAAAATCACTATGAATATATTTGTAAAACAGCTGCTATCTATCACAGAATAAGGCATTATGGATAAAGAAACTTTGTTAAATACTGGAAGGAGAGCAGCAGCAGAGACAGTAAAGGGGAACAAGCCAAACCAACCGGAAAGATGACAATTTAGCAACGGAAAATAATGGTATTTATGGTTCATGCTATAACAAACTACAGAGGTATACACACCTCATCATAGAGTAGTGGTTTATTGTATTTCCAGAAATCATATTTTTTCCTTAAATATTCCAAGTTTTTAATCACAAGCATTATTGCTTGCAGACCATTAGACAAGGGGAATGAAGATTAAAAAGTACAAGGGAAACAGGTGCTACTGGTGAGAATGTGAAGAAATGGGCACTCACACTGCTAGAGATAATTTGGCAATATAAAAAAATAGGTTTTCATATCCTTTGATAGAGCATCTTTACTTCTGGAATTGATCCTAAAATATAGTGAGGCCAGGAACAAGTATTTATATATTAGGATGTTCATTGTCATTTTTAATTATGAAAAAATTGACGTGATGATTAATTTTTATGTCAACATGACTGGGCCACGGGATGCCCAGATATTTGGCTAAACATTATTTTGGGTGTGTCTATAAGGGTGTTTTTGGATGAGATTAACATTTGAATAGGTGGACTGAGTAAAGTCGACTGCCCTCCCCAATGGAGTGGGCTTCATCCAATCGGTTGGAGGTCTGGATGGAACAAAAGGGCTGAGTAAGGGAAAATCTGCTCTTTGACTGTTTTCAAACTAGAACATTGGTCTTTTTCTGCCTATGGACTCAGACTTGAACTGGAACTGGAACTGACACTATTGATTCTCCTGGTTTTCAGGTTTCTGGACTCAGACTGAAGCTATATTGGCAGCTCGCCAGGGTTTCTAGAATGCTGACAACAAATTTTGAAACTTCTAGACTCCCAAATCATGTGAACCAATTCCTTATAATAAATTCCTCTCTTTCTCTATCAATCTATAAAGATAATTGTTCAAAAACAAGTAATGTATTTAAATGTACATTGATCATCCCATACTCATACTCTTTCAAGAAATCTGGAATCAAACACTGCCTTTCAGACAATCCATGCAGTATAGTATTTTCTCTTCAGGATCGTACTATTAAAATGGCATATTGCATACAGTACACTGGAATTTAAATGAAGTGAGCTTTTATGACTCCCTAAAGTATTTCCAGGATTATATTTGCTTGACATATTTTATACTAACTATAGTAGATTAAACTTCAACTAAAATTTGCCCCTCTGTCCTGAGAAGTACAGTCTAATTGTTCATCCCATTCAATCTGTACTGCACCTGTATCTTCTGTGACTGATAGAAGTAATAATGTGCCAATTTGGGGCCTAGTCTTTAAGCAGCTTCCATTCTGTTCTTTGGAATATGGCCGTCAGGCTGCCAGGCAGCCATATGGAGAGACCCATGAGGCAGACAATTTAAGCCTCCTCTTCAGTTTCCCTCCTAAGTTCTCAGATAAAGCCAGAACCAACTTCTTAGCCATAAAGGTGAGCCATCTTCAAATTGATCCTCCCATTTCAGTTAAGTCTCCCTACCGTAGACCACATAGAGCAAGGATGAAGTATTCCTTCGGAGCCCTGTCTAAACTGCAAAACCAAATCCATGAAAAAATTAGTGATGCTTGTCTCCATATTAGCCTGTGGCTTCCAAACTATATATCGAGACACCATGGGGTACTATAAGAAACCCTTTAGGAGTTCCATGAGATATTTTAAGCTTTAGAGAGAAACACAACAGTATTTGACACCTGACAGATATTGTATATTTACTAGTTTCATGCAGTTCACTGTTTCAACATTAGAATGTGCTGCAATTCCCAGTGACATCATATCTTTACCAAGCTGGGTTTTCAGCTCTTCCAGGAAGAACATCAGGTGCTGTGCAAAAATCAATATTGGAACAGAAAATGAGGGTAGCAGGGTCCAATATGATTCCCAGGTTTGCGTATTAGGCAGTGCTGGGCAGGTTTATACATTCAATTTGTAATTGATTGTAGTTATTTAAGAATAAAATAATTTCCTATTTTTATGTGTATTATTTTTTCAATGACATTACTTTTTAAAGATATAAACACTTATTAAATTATATGCTCTTAACTTCTTAATAAACAGAACTGTGTTTTTTTCTAAGAGTACTGTCAAGAAATACTACTGAGACACTAAGAGTTTCATAAATGGAAAATTTGGAAATCTGTGCTGTAAGTCCTCAAAAAGTACTATTTGGTCCATAAAATAAATATTTAATTTCTTATGAAGTGTCTTTGATAAAACTACTTAGTTAAAAATATTCAATAAGAACATATATAACATGCAATAGCATACTATGATCTGTATTTTATAGGATTCAAATATATATGTACCCATTTTTGAATAAGAACTGAAAGTAAATATGACAAAATATTAATAGTGTTCAATTTTAGTTAATAGATTATGTGTTATAGACAAACAAAAGTTTCAGACTCTGATATCAATTTTTTCCCTAGATTCTATTACTATTTGTGTGACTTTGAATATGTTAAATTTTTGTGCTTTGGTTTCTTCATCTGTAAAATAAATATAATTATAGGAACGAATTCATAGAACCCTTCTGGGAATGAATGACTTTTGTAAAATTTGGTTACGATAGGTAGAATAAAATTCAATAAATATTAGCAATGATGGTAATGGTAATAACTTAATTCTATTCTTTATGCTTTATAAAATTAACTTATTTACATTGATAAATGTCATTAGAAATGTTGTTAAAGCAGAGGCATTGATATTACTCTTGTCTGCGCTACATATAAATGTTTTTTTCCAATTTGTTCCCTTTCTCCTTCTCTTCCCTGTTCTCCAGGGTTCTGATCTTCCTCACAGATTCTGATGAAAGTATAGTGCGGCATCACATGGTGAACTCTACAGAAATTATGTATTCCATAAGCTACACTAAACTAAAAATATGTTGGTGAGGGATTTTTCATGATACTAAATGAAGAAATAAAATGAATAAAAGTCCAAGATTGAACCTGAAATTTAGCTAGGGACATTTAGCTTAAAGCATCAGTTCTCACTGTACTTCGAAAAATTTAGCAGGAGAAGTCCAAAAGTAAAGCAAGATGTGGTAATACAAATGGGTCATAGCAAGTGCTCTAGATAGTGAGGGGATGCAGTTGTCTTGTTGCCATTTGTGCCATTCACATTTATGTGCATGCGTGTGTGTGTGTGTGTGTGTGTGTGTGTAGCAAAGCCTCAGTTTTAATAAACTGGGCACACTTCAAATTATTATCATGTGGGATACTTCCACATGTAAATGTAAATAGACTGAGATTATACAGTTAATAAATTTGAGAAAACTTGTCTTAATAATGCCCAGAAAAAACCAAAACCCTTTTTGGCCTTATTATGTGACTTGTCTACCTAATAGTAATGGCTTTCAAAGTGTGATATGAGTGTATACTTCAGCTTCCTCATGTTGAGCATGTCTTTTTTTTTAAGAAAAAATAATAATTTGTTAATATATTAGAAAAAATAAATTATTTGCTTCACTTGAACACTAAGTGATACAAACATTTCGTCTATAATGATATAAAACTTTTATCAATCCCATTACTGTGTATATATATATTGCAAAGATACATGCATGCATATGTTTATTACTGCACTATTCAAAATAGCAAAGACATGGAATCAACCCAAAGGCCCACCAATGATAGATTGGATAAAGAATATATGGTACATATACACCATGGATACTATGCAGCTATAAAAAAGAATGAGCTCATGTCCTTTGTGGGGACATGGATGGAGCTGGAAGCCATTATGCTCAGCAAACTAATGCAGGAACAGAAAACCAAATACTGCACATTCTTACTTATAAGTGGGAGCTGAACAATGAGAACACATGAACATAGGGAGGGGAACAGCTCACACTGGGGCCTGTTGGGAGGTAGATGTGGGAGGGAAAGCATTAGGAAAAATAGCTAATGCATGCTGGGCTAATACCTAAATGATGGGTTGACAAGTGCAGCAAACCACCATAGCACATGTTTACCTATGCAACAAACCTGCACATCCTATACGTGTACCCTAGAACTTAAAATAAAAAATTTTAAAAATATATCATTTATTTAAGTTAAAATATGATTTGGTTTAACTGTATATAATGTTTAGATGTGGCATAAAACATAATACTAACATATGACTTAAAAAGTTTTAGGAATCATTGCGCTAACAGAATTGATTTGACAAATTAGACATAGGAATAGGATCAGGGAACGGATGAATAACATTATGTCCTGAATATTTTGTTAGCAGAGTAAAATAGCATTGTTCTATTCCCTGTAACTTCACTTTCTAATTTAAAAACCCAAAATACCTTTTGTTCCTTGCATTTGACATGTGATATTGTGGATGTGTCACAGTAAAGGCCAATCCTTGATTGGTGATCTTTTCCAGATGACTGGCAAGGGCACCAGGGGGTTCCACCGCAGCTTGCATCAGTCAACTAAGAGGGCACACATTCCTGCTGCCCATCTAATGAACTTTCCACATGCTGATAAATACATCCCCTTTCCATAAAGAATACATTTTCTAACCTGAATTTTTAACTGTCATAAGAAGGGCAGCTCTCAATACACATAAAATCTGTCATTGTAGAGTTAGACTCACATAGGGAAAATTAAAGTACTTTCCGATCAAAGAATCAATTTCAGTTATTAAGCACTTGTTTTATTATTCTCTAAAAAGCTAACCATTATTTTTTGAAACAGGAAACTATTTTATGCATAACTGAAAGTTCTAAGTTTTATATAAGGAAAGAAAATAGTGAAGACTTAAGGAAACTAATACAAATATTTGTGAGCATGTGTGAAAATCAGAAACGTTTATCTTTCTAGCATGAATTTTACCATAATATTAGACTTTTCTAATAGTTCTAATATTCATTGCAACTTCAAATTTTATTTCTTAATAAGTAACAGTAATGTCTGTTTAATAGGCACTCATTAAACTTTCAAGATAATTAGAAACTTTGTCTCATATGTTCTTAAAATAAAGATAAATTTCAAAATAATTGGAAACTATATCTTATAAGTTCTATGTCTATGTTGGCTAAAATAAAGTATAACGTGTCATAATTCTTCAGGTATTTCTTAATAAAATGTTAGTTTTTACATGGTACTATTTATCCACAGGTAGAAATTGTTCTAATGTTTTACATAAATTCTTCATGTCAGTAAGAGGACTAGCAATAATAATTTTTCAAATAATTGTTTTAGTAAAAAAAGAAAAGGCTTTATGTTAACATAAATACTCATAAATTCACTCAAAATGAGAAAATTATTGGCAGTTGGAGTAACAACATTGATACTATCTACTTTAACATTCTTGCATAAACCCACTTAACATTTTTATGACAAAGCAGTTTTTAAGTGTCATGAAATGACACAATATCTTGAAAAATAATATATTTTTGTATCAGAACTACTAATTTAGAAATAGGAGAGATTTAGCAGCACTAATATCCCTCTGTGTGATAGAAAAATTATTTTAAATATAGAGATATTGTCATCAATTTGTATAATATTTTAAGCTCCACCCTCACCCCATCCAATGCTACTGGTTTCTTTAAAGGAATGAAATGCTTTATCTTTTTGACAGAACAAATTGACTGGAAAATTACATAACCCCCTCAGCAGATGTTCTTTCTCACTCTGTTTGGGAATTTATACCATTGAACAGTGTTTCCAAGATCCATGTGGAGATATATTAGGAGGATTCAATTGATGCATGCAAAGTCTACCACAATGTATGCAAAGAATACTCATTATCTTTTGGTTGTATAGTCAAATACAACTTGAACTATAAATGACAATAGCATTTTCTAATTTTTTAAATTACAAAATATCTAAAAGATATAAGCTATCCAAATTAGCTCTACAAACACTATGCATTTTTCTACTCAAATTAAATTCTAACATCCAAATTGATAGGAAGGTGTTAGGCATAATGAGTAAATCTTAGAGTCAAGGATGTCAGGCAACAACAACAACAAAAAGAAAATGGAAACAATTTTGATTTTCTATCCCCTGTGTCATATCTCTAGCAGTATGGCATACTAATCTGGGCAAATCAAAGGGCATCTTCAAAATTCAATGCACAGCATTAAGTTAAGCATCTGTATAACAAATAGAATAGCCATCCATGTCTCTGTGAACAGCATACTGCAACTTACTGTCACTTAATGCCAAATGACATCTATCTACATAATCTGCCACTCTAACATGATAAACTTATGATTGTATTTTATCCATTTATTTTTCAAGCTTTGCAAAATCATTTTTTTTTTGCCATGAAATTAGGGGAGTGGGGAGGGATAGCTTTAGGAGATATACCTAATGTAAATGATGAGTTAATGGGTGCAGCACACCAACATGGCACATGTATACATATGTAACAAACCTGCACATCGTGCACATGTACCCTAGAACTTAAAGTATAATAAAAAATATATAAAAGTAAAATTTTATATATATATTTATATATATATATAAAGTAAGAAAAAGTAAGGTAATCAGCTCTCAATAAAAAAGGCTATCATGTTGTTCAATAAATTCTCTATAAAAAACATTTCAAAGTAGATGTTTACAGTTCCAAGACATTGCAAATTCTTAACAACTCTGTGGAATACATTGGTATTTTTAGCTAAAGAGAGAATATTTAGAGTGAAAAGGGAGTGAACTACTCCAGAATTGAGAGAAAAGTTTTCATGGAAATTCTAGATATTACAAAAAATAAACAACAACAACAAAAAAATTCAAGAGCATGTTGGTATAAACTAAAATAATGATTGTCATAGTAACATGATTCAAAGATAGGCAACTGTTTTATAGGTGAACTCTGATTATGTAAGCTGAGTTTCTACTGAGGTGCACATTATGAATTATGAAAAGTATTACTTCATAGAAATTATCACCTTCAAAAAGAAAATGGTCAATCAAAATTTACTAACTCAATGCAAATAGGTGTTCTCACAACTAATTATTATTTAGATTTTGGTGATCTCCTCCAATCTTTTTATTTTAGCCCAAAAATAAAAGGTAATTTTTAGACCATTTCTTTCTTACTTAAATTAGTCAAGGTTTTGCATAAAGAGCTCAAGCTGCCTCCAAAATACTGCAATACTACTTCAGACTTTTTCAGTAATTAAATGTTTCACTGTATAAGCCATTCTCTAGATGCCATCCTCTACCTGTAAAATTATAACTATTCCTAATTCTTGCTGAAAGTCCAGTTGGCACAGTAGAAGACAAATTTAGAGAGATTATTAGAAAGGTCTTTGGGAAGATTTGAATCTCATACCCAATAATCTGGATTTTATCCTACAGGCAGGGCAACTCTTAATGAGTTTAAACAGAGCAATAGCATCAACTGTCAATACTTCAAGGCTAAAGGTTTAAAGAAAACCCAACAAAGCAAAATTAACTTATGAAAATTTTGGATACTAAGGAAGAGTTATAAAAACAATAAATTTTACATTGACCAGGATGTAGTTAAATAGGTTACAGGGAAAAGAAAAGATGGAAAAAATATGTAGAAAGTGAGTTTCTTCTTTGATTTCTATTTGATTTCCCATGATGGCAAGAATTTTTTTGAAATGCTTTTTTTTTTTTCCCCTAAAGAACAATGTCGTAGTCAGCTCAGGCTGCCATAACAAAATATTATGAATTGGGAGTCTTAAATAACAGAATTTTTATTTTTCTCACAGTCCTGGAAATTGGGCATCTAAGATCAAGGTGCCAGCAAGATCAATATCTAGTGATAGCTCTCGCATTGGGTTGCACATGGGCATTCCTTGGTGCATGTGAGTGCAAAGAGAAAGAATCTCTTTCTCTGCTTACAAAGCCCCTAATCCTATGGGATGCAGACCCCACTCTTAGGACCTCATGTAACCTTAATCCCCCTTCTAAAAGCTTCTCCTCCAAAGGCAATCACATTGGTGCTTGAATATACGAATTTTGGGTGGGATAATGCATTTCAATCCATAGCAACCAAATACTTTATTTTTGAAATGTGATTTGGGTTTACAAAAAATAATCTGCTTTAATATGCTGCAATTCTCAAAACACAAGAAGTCTAGTTTTAAATTGTGTGTAATTGCTAGTGTTTCTACCATTTAAAAATATATCACATTGCTCTTTTTCTCATATGGAAATAATTGGATCTGGTGAGTGTTTGAGAACATTCTATTATAACTGTGATATCAACTCAATACTATGTAGTCTCAGTTCAGCAAACTCACTACCTAAATTAGGATATCTTTAGATTGGTGGATAAACTACTGCAAATGTATAAACTTTTTTGTGTTAAACGTACTAAAAGTAAATTAAATATATAACTTTCTGAAAAATAGCAAAATCAAGCAAGCCTATTCTCTATGTTTTTTCTTTAGATATTGTGAAAAATTATTCAATAAATACGAAAAGTTCTAACTCATGTAACTATAATAAACATCATTGTTATTTGGCACTGCAACTGCTTCATAAGTTAGAGGTATTTAAACTAAGCTCAGTTGCGATGAGTATTCGAACTCTGCAGTGTTCTGGAAATTACTGTACTACATGGATAAAACAAATACAAACAAGCAAGCAAACAAACTATGCCCCCCCAACCAACATTGCTTCGAAATGATAATATCATATCAGAAATTATTTATATGAATTTTTACCTTCTGGTAAACCAAATATAGAGAGATTCCTATGTTTACGTATTATTCAATACTATTGCTTTTCCATCACCAAGTAAGTGTGACACAATCAACCTTCATATATCTGTAATCAGATATATCAGGAATATTGTCATTTTATGGGCTAAGCATCTTGTTTAGTTTTTTTACAATTTACATAGAGTAGTAATGCTTAAATTTGCAATCATCATCTGAAAAATGACAGTGTTGGGTGAGAGATACTTTTGTTCTATCCTAAAGCCAAGCATCCTTAGCTTTGTAAAAAAAAAAAAAAAAAAAAAAAAATCCAAGAAAAAGACACAAAATTACCATAAAAATAGATATACAATCGTGATAGAGCAAAACTTGTCATACTCTATCATGAGTTGAAAATGCATATATCTAAAGCCACATAGTCCTTTACAGCTGCGGTTTACTGCATGTGTTTTAGCGCACACACACACACACACTTTTCTTAGGGCTCCATCCACTTACACCCTGCAGCTCTGGTTTAGATTCCCTTATACGATTCTTTGACTTGAAATACATTATCCAAAAATCCTCTGTAAATCAACTGACTAGGATGAATATAATCAATTTGTTATGTGCTCTTTCTGTATTAATTCACCTCTATTTCCATACTCCAGCATATATGTTTGTTCAGCAAGCCTTGGTTTTGTCTGATCATCAGTCCAATTATTTACACATCATTTAAATTTTAATAACTTAAATCATAGGAATTTAAAGAATAATGGGGCTGAGTCGTGGTTAGTAAATATTCTCGTTAGAAATGTTCACACAAAATAATAAAGTTTAACTCTGTGGACAGAAGCTCTTGTGATTTTGGTGCACTTTGTAAAATTCTGGGGATGACTGCTTCCTGCCTGCAGCTGTCTGGCCTCAGGAATGTTAAGTGTAGCAAAATAGAGATAAGTTCTTAGGAAGAAACCCTTTTAGCAAAAAGGGACTCAACTCTGTAACAATCAAGAGAAATAGATCAAAAGTAACCCCTCAAATTCAAGTTACTATTACTGTCTCCCCATACTTTACCTCCAACCAAATCCATGCAACGTTTATAACATATATTAAAATCCCAACACATTGGCTAGATCATAGTTTCTTCCTTAGTGCTTTACTGTGTTTATAGGTTTCACTTTCAAAATTTCAGTTTCAGGAATAGCCTTGGGATTTCTTCAAACAAGTGAAAGGGTCTGATATAGTTTGGATATTTGTCCTCTCCAAATCTTACGTTGAAATGTGGTCTACAATGTTGGAGGTGGGGACTCGTGGGACGTGTTCCTGTCATGTCATGGAGGCAGATCTCTCATTAATGGTTTGGTGCCATCCCTGTGGTAATGAAGGAGTTCTTGCTCTCTTAGTTCACAGGAGAGCCAGTTATTTAAAAAAGCACAGGACCTCCCCACAATCTCTTTCTCCCTCTCTTGCCATGTTATGTGTTTACTTCCCTCCACCTTAGGCTATGATTGAAAACTTCCTAAAGCCCCACCCAAAGCAGATGCTGGCGCCATGCCACTTTTACAACCTGCAGAACTGTGAATCAAATAAACTTACTCTTTTCTTCTATTTTTTCTTTTCTCTTCTCTCTCTTTTTTTTTTCTTTTTTGACACAGTCTCACTTTGTCTTCCACGCTGGAGTACAGTGACGTGATCTCAGCTCACTGCAAAATCGGCCTCCCAGGTTCAAGCAATTATCGTGCCTCAGTCTCCCAAGTAGCTGGGATTACAGGCACGCACAACCACACCCAGATAATTTTTTGTATTTTTAGTAGAGGCAGGGTTTCACCATGTTGGCCAGGCTGGTCTCGAACTCCTGACCTCAAGTGATCCACCGGCCTCAGCTTCCCAGTGTTGGGATTTCAGGCATTAGTCACCAAGCCTGGTCTAAACCTCTTTTATTTATAAATTCCCCAGCCTCAGGTCTTCTTTTATAGCAACACAAAATGGACTAATACAGGGACTTCATGACTCACTACTGAGATTTCCTTTACTACTATGGATTAACTGCCACCATTCTCACTGTAAATCATTTTGCAGAGTGATAAGGGTCTGGGAAAAGTAGGTGGGTGTAGGATTTAGGAGTGGATTTTAGAAAAAATAGCAATATTAGTTTTGTGTGCCCTTTTAATAACCTGTAAGAGGAGAGAGGCCATTTGAATATGTGTTATTATTAATTGTGTTGGGTCTCATAACCATATGTGGTGGTTGTTTTAAAAAGGAAGACAAATACAGCACATTCCAGGCACACTAAGCTGGCAAAGTAAGTGGGTATTCAACACACAGCTCTATAATAATAAAAATCTCACATATTATAAAAATAAGGAAACTTAGCTGATTATTTTATTTTAGATTACATGGAAATTTTTTACTAAAATAAAATTTTAAAACATCTCAAATAATTATAGAAATACAGGAAGTATTTATTTGAAATGTATAAAAAGCTCTAAATGAGTATTGAAATGCCATAGGAAACACACAAAAGGATCTGAGGGGGGTGTGTGTGTGTGTGTGTGTGTGTATTTGTGTGTGCAAGTGCACATGTGTGTAGAGGGCAATGAACTATAAAGGTAGAAGGATAAAGATGACAATGGTAAAGTATCAGACAGAAAAAAATACATGTAGTGATAAGTGATAGAAAAATCAAACAGCTATTCAGAAAAATAGTCAAGGCGCAGTATGATTCTAAAAAATACTGTCGAGGGTATTTGATGTCCCATGTTTTTATATATCCACTATCTCCTTCTTTAGTGAACATTTAACAATTATGCTGAAAATTATTCCAGCATGAAAAATATAAACTCACATGTGCATAAATAAATGGACAATAAATGGTCTTCTACACATAAATACCCTTAGGTGGTTTTATTCTCTGGGGACCTTTTTTCCTCCCTGAACATTACTACCGTAAAAGCTCATTAATTTGAAAAATGGAATATTCTGAAGAAATCATTTGATTAATTTATCGTAATCTAAAGTCCACATTTTGTGTCAACTAAGAAGGCAGGTTTTTCATAAATGAAAATCATACTGTGAGTTGCAGTTTACAGTTTGAATAGATCCAAGTGTAAATGGAGTACTGTCATTTTTAATGTTATTTAACTATAATTGTTGCTAATATCTTCAATTTCAGATATTTCAGTAAGGAGGTGATAGACTTCAAAATTATGAAAAGATAATTCTAGTGAAGCCTAGTTATTTCTTTTTTATATTATCTTTAATGACATAATGTATTCTTCTGGATATCAATTATAAATTCTGTAAATAAATTCGATATTTACAGAGGAGTAGTTGGTCACTTATTAGGATCAAGAGAAATCTTTTTCCAATATTCATATATCTGGATTCACACACACATATCTTCACACACACACACACACACACATTCTTATATTTATACTTTGTAGAGCATTTTAACCTAGGTCATAGATTATAAAACTTACTACTTACTACAGAAGAGTAACCTAATCTTCTTATGCTTTACTCTTTAATCCAGAAGACAGACAGATGGTTCTAAAATACGTAGGAGAGGACATTACTATCCCTCATCACAGGAATTCAAAATATCAATTTGTTAAGTACGACTAAGTGAACAGAAAGCACGGTAATATATTATTGGCTGTGAAATACGACCTTGGTTTTTAGTTATAACCTATATAGGCTAAGAAGATTTTGACAGTTTACTGTGTGTATCAGCCATTGAAACTCTTTTATATCTTTCCTCAATTGTCTGTGCTGTAGTAACAGACCTTAATAAGGATGTTGATAAGGCAGGTTATTATTTCACTAAGTGTGTTCTGCATAATACTGGTCCTCAAAATATTCTATAAGAAAAGAAGTTTGTATTAAATTTAGTTTATGAAGTTCTGCACATTATATCGAATTCCCGGAGATTCCTAATGCACATTTTCATTTGATATTGCATCATAAGCATGTTTCTATTACATGCACTAACTTTTGTAAACATCTTGTAAATAGAATCAACCAATATACAGAGTTCTATAATTTGTCAATTTCTCTACTGTTAACAAAAGGGTTTTCACTAGGTTCATTTTATTACCAATACTGCACATAAAGTTTCATTCACACTCTGATGTATTTTATGGAATAAATCACTAGAATTGGAAATAATAATATATCATATCTATGACTATTCTACTGTTCTTGATAAATATTGCCAAGTTGACTTCTTTAACATTATGCCAGTGTATAAGCATATGATTTATATATTTCTCAAGTTATATACATAAGAACTTTTACAAATCAACATAAAAATTCTAAAAGAAAAAAATGAGCAAAACATAAAAATATGAAAATCAAATGGTTAAAAATTAAAAAATATGCAAATGTTTGAATTATTAAAATCATGCAAAATAAGTTGATAATTATATACAGGTACTTTGCTAGACTCACCAAAGTAATTAGAGAATTAAAATAATGTTGATGGATTTACAGTACTAACAAGATGTCATCTTGGCCCAAAATTTCTAAAAAGCAATGTTGAAATATTTATCAAGGTCTCTAATATAATCATAGCTTTAATAATTTTCAGAAAATTAGGAATGTAGACAGAATATCTTGTTTAAAAGTGTTTAACATAGCATCATTAATTAAGTAGCTATTTTTTAAATCTCAAGAGTAAAAGAAATATCTATGTTGATATTGTTGATATTGCCTAATGATCTATTCTCTCTTATTTCCTTTATCACAGCAACCCCCAGATATTGACTAGATATGTGTCCACCTAAAGACTATAACTTTGATGAGCCTTTCTTTCAGCTAAAGTAGTTATGACTTAGATCAAGCTAATTAAGTATAACAATAAAATATATATGCAATATCTGAGGGCTTAAAGATGAAGCGTAGCTCTCTACTACCCCTCTGTTCTTACTGTGACATGGGCTTGGTAGCAGGAGCTGGAACAACCATCCTGATCCATAAGATAGAAAACTACATGACAGAGGGACACATTAAATGGATTTTGGGTCCCTGATAGTTTTGGTGCTGCAGAAAAGTCATGGGCTACCTACTAAGACTTTTATATGAGAGATAAATAAAAGTCTATCTTATTTAAGTCACTGTTAACTTTGGCTTCTTTTGCTATAGCAGCTAAAACTACTTTGTAAATACATGCTATTTGTATATAGGGATATTATGCAGCAACCAAAACCCTCCTAACAGCACGGAAGGAACTAAAATATAATGTCATAGAAAGAATGCAAAACACATTATGCCGGTTTTCCAAATTTTGGGTATTAAAGGAAGGAAATCTGCAAAATGCTAATGGGAGCAAAGTTGCAGTGGTGAGATTAGGGTGATTTCTAAGATGTGATTCTTACTCCAGTCTAATTATGACAAAAACATCAAACAAATACCAGTGAAGGGACATTCTGCAAAAGGCCTGACCAATACTTTCTGATATTGTCAAGGTCGTTAAAAACAAGGGAAGTCTGATTAACTGTTGTGCCACAAACAGCCTAAGGAGACATGATGAGTAAATGCAATATAGTGTCCTGGATAATGTCTTGAAAAAAATACATTAGGTAAAAATCAAGGACATTTGAAATATGGACTTTAATAATAATATATTAATATTGGTTCGTTAATTGTGACAAATTTACTATAGTAATGTCAGATGTCAACAATATGGGAATTTGGGTGCAGAGCACCAGGCACTATTGCAGGCAACAGATTTTGGTACTAATCTTATTAGCTCACCTTCTTTGTATGGCCACAAGCATGCCCTGCAACATCTCTAGATTCTTCCAAATTTCCTCCTCCAGCTTCTCTAACTCCTGATCCGTGTGTGTGTTTAGCTCCATGATGATGTGCATCAGCCTTCCCTGCAAGTCAATGGCATCATTGAAACTGGAGGCTTGGAGGCAGTGACCAATCAGTCCAGGTCCCAGCTTCTTTTCATGGATTCCAGTATGACCTTGCTCTCCCTGGCTTCATGTTCTTCTTTCCTTCCCAACTGCCTGCTCTGCTAACCTCAGGTTAACCACCAGGTGCTGAAGCAACAGACTAACATAAAATGTTTAACCAGTTCCCAAAAGTCATAAGGTAAAATTTATATTACAAGTTCCATATATTTATATCTTCCCTAATGGTTGTGCTTTTCTGATAAAAGTCTTGCCTGATACAACTACGTACTCTATCAGGACCATTACTTAAAATATTTATTGAGCACTAACTGCCTTATTTCCAGAGCTAGGGGTCACAGAACCAATCAAAAGGGGCCTGAGTATTAGAAGGAAACTTGTCCTTGAATTCTGATACAGCATCTTTAAACCTCCTTAAAAGCTGCCATTTTCAAAAATGAATCAAGATAAACAACCATTTTGTTGAGCTCTCCACTGAAGAATTAATAATATTAATGAAATCTACGGTCTAATCACTGTATATTCTAACTTTTTTCTACTTTCAAATTCTTTACGTCTATAATGAAAATAAAAGATATTTTTAGTGGTCAAAAGACACAAAGTGATTAATCACATATCTACTAATGACATTTTTAAAGTACCTCAGCCCAGAAATATGACACTACAATCATTAAAAATCATATTCAATTTTCAAAGATACTAATCTTAAACTATATTCTGCTGGCAGAAACATAAAATTATATCCAGTAAGCTCAGATGCTTTGGATAATGGAAAAACTCAGTTCTATGGTGCTGCCAGAAAATAATATGCTCTTAGAAATTCTGCAAGTTGAGTAGAGAGATCAGAATCTGACAAAGTGATGTTACAGATTGTTCAGAACAGAAAAATTCCAGATCCAAAGAATTTTTTTTTTCTTTGAGACATGGATTGAGGTCCAAGAGCAGCATAATGGTACCAAATGGATAAAAACAACAATAAAGTCATTTCTCATGCATAATGCACAGGCATTCTCTATTGGAGTTGATATCACCATCTGGTGTCTAATTATTCCCACCTCACACCACACGGTTGTATGCATTTAACGGAATGACTGTACATTATGATAACTCAGTACACAGGCTCTTTGCTGTTAATTATAAGGTGCTAGTTGTTGTTGTTTTAAAGATCATGGAAATCCCCCAAAATTTGATATTCGTTGCTTAAAATGAATATTTTGTAAGATGACACTAGGAAAAGAGAACTATAGTTAGCTTTATTTTTCTAAAAGATCTATGTTCCTTTAAGTTTAGTTTCTTCTAATACCTGTATTATAAATTAAGATCTTGCTTCCATAAGGATACATGGTCAGTATCCTTTTCTCTAACTGAATGCTTTTATTCTGATTTATCAATATATGCTTTCCAGGTGTAACAATCAGTGTTAACAGTTTTTATTCCTAAAATAATAAAGAAGGCTATAATTCTTATGAAACCATTCACTCATTTATTCTTTTTTTTTTTTCAATAAGCATTCATTACATATTTGCCAGGCACCAGACACTATTTAAGTTATAAGGGAACAAAACTAATGTCTTTAGAAGGACTCAGGTTAATTAGTGAAAATGTAGTTATAGGTAAGTGATTATGATAAAACTTGGTAAATGCTTTATTAGCAGTATTCACAGATTCTTAATGGAGTAGGGAGAAAAAATTTTCCATCATATATTTTAAACTCTGAAGATACCGATTATTTTCTTGTTGGAGTTTTGGCTATCTATGGTTGCGTGATCAAGCACCTCAAAATACAGTGGCTTAAAACAACAATAATAATTTATTTGCTCATGATTTTGCATTTTAGTCAAGGCTTGGAGGTAATAAGTCATGCTTGTTCCACATGCATCTTTTGGGAAGGCTCAACAGGACCTGGAGGGACAATTTGAAGATGGCTCACTCACATGGATGAAAAGTTGGTTCTCTCTTCAGCTGGCAGTTTAAATGGAACGGTCAGTTGGAAACATGACTTATCTATCCCAGAGGACTCTCTATGTGGTTGTTTGGGGTTCTTCACAGAATAGCACCCAAGGTGCAAAAGAGGGAAGTGGAAGCTGACGATCTTCTTAGCATATGGGCTCAGAACTGGCACAGTATAACTTCTGTCATATTTTGCTGCGGAAGATACAGGTCCAGTTCAGATTCAATGGGAAAAATAATTAGACTGCACTTCTCGGAGGTCCATTTTTGGCATTGTTAATCCACTAGGTATAAAATTTATCAAGCAAACATAATTCTTTAAGTAATATAAATACTTTGGGGAATAATGCAAATGCTTACTTAAAATTCAGTGTATTGTATGTAAGACTCCATTTTAATGCTATAATTCTGAGAGGGAAACTATATTTCATTGAATATCTAAAAGACAGGATTTAATTCTAAATTTCTTGGAACAGTTTGTGCTAATCGATAGAAATTTTTGTCCACACCACTAATATATTTTAGATAAATTTAAATTTCAAATCAGCTTCTATAAGTAAACATTTAGAAAATATTATGCATAATAATATGATGAAAATATTTTATAGAATATTTAATCTAATCATCACAACACAACTTTCAGGAAAAATCATTATTCCCACTTTACATATAAGGAAACTGAGGCTAAGGGGAATTAAGCAGTTTATTTGAGGTTATGTAGCTAACATGAGAAAGAACTTGGATTCAAGCCCAGGCTATTTTTCTTCAAAGTCTAAGTATTGTTCAATAATACCTAAGCACAGACAAATTCAATACTAACTTTCAGAAATTTATTTTTATCTATTTTTCTATCTGATATATTATGTGCCCACTTGCAAATCAAACCAATTTTTATTTATTAAAGGGGTCTGAGGGTCTGGTAACATAGTTTTTACATATCCCAACCTGATTAATTAATTATCAAGTTTTACTCTATACAAGGATTTGAACTTATAAAACAGTTTGCAATGAAAATACGTATTACCAGTTGTATGTGTGTGTTTCTACATACATATATGTGTGTGTACCAAAAATTCATATTTAAAATCAATAGGTGAAACTGGGAGATAAAATTATATATGTTTAAAGACTATAGTTAGATAACAAATGCTATATTGAATCATTTAATTACTCAAATATTTACCTTTTTTAAACCTTTTTCTATTTCATAAACACCATGATGGAAGAGAATAGGTTTCTTACTTTATATACAAGACTGCCAGTCTAATATATATTGAATGAGGAGAAATATTTTAAAACTTCTTTATGAAACATTTATGAAAACAATTAATTGAGGTGAAAAGTCAATCAGAAAATCCAAATCCATAATATTAGGTTAACTGTAATCATATTGGAAAATTTCCCTGTAAGTCCTTTACTTTTCATTTTTATGTTATGCTAAGAGAAAATTACATGAAAGTAGATTATAGTTATATTTTGAGACAATTATTTCAAGACCAGTTGATAGCAGAGAAGAAACACTAAAGAGCTTTTTGAGAAATGAGAGCTGTATTTTCTAGGAGGTTTCTCCATTAACATTAATTATGTTCTCCCTGGAGTCATGAGCTTAGGCAGCTTTTAAAAAAGCAAATTCACTCACCAACAAGTGAATGTTTTGAGTTTTCAATTCATTACCATTTGACCTGAAACATTTAGAGTTGCTTCTTTTTCTTTTCTTATTTTTACAGCTTTATTGAGATATAATTTGCATACTATAAAATTTACTCAAAGTTTATAATTCAATGGTTTTTAGTTTATCTATCAAGTTGTGTGATCATCACCATAGTCTTAGATTTTCATCACCCCAAACAGAAACATTTTACCAAATAGGAATCATTCCCCAACTTCCCATCTTTCTACTCCCAGCCCTAGGCAACCTTAAGCTATTTTGATTTTTTTTCCCTTCAGATAGAGAAGCAAAGCAAAGAAAAATCTTCTCAGATTATGGATAATGCAGTGTATAACTCCCAGGTCTAGAGGGTCAAGTTTCTGTCTCATGTTTGTAATCTATTAAAGATCAGGCAATATACCTTCAAGTACATCGTATTAAATAACCAAAGTACTTTTAATGAAATGCAACAGTATACAAATGGAAGCTGGCTCAACTTCCAGCCCAAGAAACGTGAATTATAGTCACTTTCTGAAGTACTTGTGGGGACAACTGGAGAGCACACACTACTGCAAAATGAAGGGCGTTTTGCTAGCTTGTTTTGTGCCCTATTCTTTTCTTCATGTTCCTATTTCTAAAATACGTTTACGTATCTACACTCATTCCTGGAAGCTTTTGTTTGTTTGTTTAATTTTCCCACATTGTTCCTGAGATTCACCATTCTAATTTCATTCACTCAACATTTCTGTAAGTCTCCTTTTTCAAACCCTGACTACCAAAAACACACTTCATATATATATTTTTTAAATCTACTTTTCCCCACAAGTAATCTCTCTTGGTACCTCTGATCTACTTATTGAGATTTTTTTTTTTTTACTTTAAACCTTGAAAATTAATTTTTCTTTAAAACATTTTTCTCACTGTTTCTATTAGTAGCATCTCATTCTCATTCCCTCAATTTAACCCCCAATGTGGCCGGGCGCGGTGGCTCACGCCTGTAATCCCAGCGCTTTGGGAGGCCGAGGCGGGCGGATCACGAGGTCAGGAGATCGAGACCATCCTTGCTAACATGGTGAAACCCCATCTCTACTAAAAATACAAAAAAAAATTAGCCGGGCGTGATGGCAGGCTCCTGTAGTCCCAGCTACTCGGGAGGCTGAGGCAGGAGAATGGCGTGAACCCGGGAGGCGGAGCTTGCAGTGAGCCGAGATCGCGCCACTGCACTCCAGCCTGGGCGACAGAGCGAGACTCCGTCTCAAAAACAAAAAACAAAAAACAAAACAAAAAACAAAAAAAACCCAATATGCCCTTGCTTTTTTAATGCTATTGATTACACACATCTTACATCATGTGATATAAATAATGTCTCTAGTAATTTACCAGTAGCACATCTGTGCCTTAATTAGTAGCTTTCCTATTATTGAAATAAAATATGTATATGTACATATACATTTCTCCAATGTTTTAAAATATAACTGTGTAGCATAACATAATAAAATGTTAAAAGATGTGGATTTTAGGTCATATCCCGATTCTGATTTCTATGACCTGCACGGCTTAGTCAACTCATTCGGATGATCTGAAGTACAATTTCGTTATCACCAAAATAGTAAAAATAAAGGTATGGCTGTAACAGGATAGCAAAGGGAAAACAATTATGTACACAAATGCTTAGCACGATGACAAAAAAAATCAATGATATTACCACTCACATTTTTAAATTATTATTCTCACATATTAAGCCTTCAATAGACTTTTCAGGGTGAATCTAGTCAAATTCCATTTAAAAATGTTTTTAATGAAAAAATCAATTTAAAATAACAAATTGATTTAAACAATTTTTTAATCACATAGCCTCTCTGAAAACTTAGAGTTACTGGGTAAAAATAGCATAAATGTTAAAAAATGATCTAGTTGATCCTATGTCTTTTAGTCAGAAATATGAATGAAGTGCTTCTTCATTTTCTTTAATGAATATGATGTTGTTTAACCCTATCTTGACAATAGATGAAATAATTTTTTTCCATGACAAGTTTTTATGCTACCAAAACTTGTGAAAGGTTTTGACAGGAAATCTAAGAAAAATATGGGGGGAAAGCAAGACGTATAATTTTGTCTTACCATTTTGAATATGTGTGTGTGTGTGTGTTTGTATTCATATACAACATATATACACATTAAATCTGAAAAAAGTATGTTTTAAACTCTTTATTTGTAAATTAAATTGTATCTGATATATTTGCCAGGAAACATGAGTTTGCTGTAAATAAACCTGATAATTAAGCTATAAAGAAATAGGCATAAAGGCAAAGTCCAGAAACTATTTTTGATTTAAATTGATTAAGCTTCATTATGATTCCTTTGACTGAAACCCTCAGTATTATTTTGCTTTGTTGCAATTCCTTTATATATTTGTTTTCATAAGTATAATAATAAATTCTTAATTGTCTGAGATCCATTTTCCCTCCCAGTTTGTAAGTTTCATGAAAAAAGCCACTCTGCGTTTCTTGTACCTCACTGAGACTCTGTAATAATTTGGGAGAGAAGGAAATAATAGAGTAAATTCAGAAGACTATATTAGATATATTTATTTGCAAATAATGTTATATTCCAAATTGGTTCCTCTAAAAGGAATAAGAAGAAATTGAGAAGGTATCACAAAATATCTTCTATTCAATGTGTATGTGAGTGGAGCCATATATACTTTCCATGACCATGTTAAATGTGGTTGCTTACATACATATCAGCAAGGTTGGATGGAGTTTGATTGATGATTGAAACTTTTTTGTTGTTATTGTCCTGAAAGAACCTAGTTATGTAAATGGCATTGCTTATAGCATGATGTTTGAATAAGGCTTAATGTAATTCCATATATTTAAGAAACATAAGCATAATTTCTGTGATCCACTCCAGAAATGGAAGCATAACATATTTCTAAATATTTACTGAAAATTTTGTTTAAACAAAAATATATGAGGAATTGTGATTAGTATCAGTAAAAGTTTTAATTAATGATATTGAAAAGTAATTTTAATATAATACTATAGACATAAAATAACAAATTTCTAATATTGGGACACTAATAACACTAGCATTCTGCTAGGTTGAGCAAAGTGAATTAATTCATACAAGGGTCTTCCCAATAGTTTCTAAGAAAAAAAATGGATAAAGTTTTCTCAATTTTAATATTTTCTTAGCTTAGCTTTTCTTAAACCTTTGGCAGCTGCTTTAAAGTAAGAGCAGGTGACAAAATGAATAAACATGTAGCAAATGGATTTCAACAGAATTACTTGGAAATAGCTGATCATGGTAAGTTTGATAACCCTGTTATTTCTACTCATATAATTATTTATTTTGCATCCAAATGTTAAAGTGGTGTTTATTTTCTACTAGTAAAATTAGTTTTAAATTTATATTATAAAATTATTATGCCAATATTTCATGGTGTAATGCCAAAAAAAAAAAAAGACAGGCTGACATTCATGATTCATGTAGTCTACTCTCTGGCCCTATCTAGGATTCACTAGAGTATAAAATGAAGCCACGTATATACTAATCCTAGCCAAGTGTCATGAACGCTGGGCCAAAATTTCTTCTTTGTGCTTTCCCCTTCACGACCACTACATACTATTGCCTATGGGCATTTCTATTTTCATGAATAAATGAACAAAGCAACACCCGATAAACCCTGGAAGTTATCAATGTAACCTGGGAAGTGTGTTTGTGTGTGTATATGTGTGTGTGTGTGTGTGTGTGAGAGAGAGAGAGAGAGAGAGGTTAAATAGTTTGAATAAAAGCCTAATATATCATTATTGTCTTTCTTGCCAAAAATATATAAAAGGTATAAAAGTCAGTCTTGGTTGTTTTGGTCAATATGTTTTTAGTAGACAATTTTGATAGAAGGGTATAATTCTTCTTTTAAGAGAGTGCCTCTATTTATCTATCAGTAACTTAAAAGCGGTGTTTGCAGCAGTTAGGAAGAAACCAAGACTAGATTTATCTTTAGGCACCAGCTGATGTCCAAGCTCAGCATCACAGGATGTAGTTCTGCTGGTGGCCCTGATGGTTTAGGGGCTAAATTATTGCTTTAAGGTCCAAAAACATAATTTGGTTGCTATAGCCAAATGTAATAAGTTACACAGGACCTAAAATGCTTATCAAATCACAAGAGATCCTCTGAGAAAATTCAACTATTTGTAGTTTCTGCTAACTCAGGCATTCATTCCTTCACAAACTCTTTTCTCTAACTGAAATATCTTTCCTAAGTGTTCTCCTGACAAACTGTGTTAAATTCTTCCAGACTCAGCTCAAATAGTAGCTCTAGTGCAAATGATTCCATGACTTTGGACTACTTCCTGTGTGCCAAACTGCATTCCATATATAATTTTCCTACAACAATCAACTTCTTTTGTTATTAGTTTATTTGTTGTTAGCCTTGCCTGCCTCTCCTGTTAGGTAAGCCTACTTTGTGTATAGGGGGACACATATCTTCATTTCCATGTCACTGACATCTGAGAGTTCCTAGACAGTCAAAAGTCAAAAAATATTTTTCTAAGGAATCAAATAATGGAAAATGAAATAATAATGCATAAAGTGCTAGTTTATTTGTATAAGATTACATATCCAAATTATAAATATTTGCATTTCCTGAACAGATCGTCCTGTTTGTAGCTGTTTGCACAATAAGTACAGAATGAGAACTTAGGGGAGTGAATTTGATCATCTTAATGCATAAAGGGCACAAATAGGAAAGCCTAATAAATAATGCATTATGTGTGTGTGTGTGTGTGTGTGTGTGTGTGTGTGTATCCTGCTACCGTAGAGTCATACCCACCCACCAGACAGGAGCTCTCCTGCTGTTCCATACTCTGCATATGCATTTTATAGGGCTCATCAAGACCAAAATACTCATTTTGTGGGTGGGAAAAGGAGGGCTCAACTCTTTTCTAGAATGTAATAGCTTTACCCTCCCCTCATTTATTGTTTTATTTCTAACTTATATTTTCAATAAGAGTAATATTGTTGTTTAAGGTACAGATTAATTATATGTACAGACCTCCTTGTTTTTAAATCTATATTGGAATTCAATTTTTGTTGCAGGTCTAATGTGATAATATTTTTAACATGCTTAATGTCATCTCTAGCACCTAATTGATACTATGGTGCTAAACAAATAAAATGTGGTCATATTAATTTTCATGTAATGTCTTCATCTAATGTACTATCTATGTTATGATTTAATTTTTCCTAGGGTCACTGGGTTTCTATTAGTGACCTTTATGTCTTTGTTTTATCACAAGCTTATATTGCCAGAAATAGAAATATAAAATTTGTAAGAGAAAATATCAAATAAACATGTTTATAATTAATCTTTCATGAAATATTTTAAGTCAATTTAATTGTTTCTGGTTTGATTTAGGCTGCAAACTCAGCAAAGAAAAGCATTGATGTTTTGACATTCAATAAAAGTGGAATCCATTTGTATTAATGAGCATAATCATATTATGCCTTTAATTTAATTCTGTGTCATTCATTCTTTTAGAAATGACTGTGAGATTTAAATCATATGTACCTTTGTGTGTGAAGAATGGGTCATTACTTTTAACCATGCCACTAACAACTTCTTGCTCTTGGCCAGCGAATATAACCTTCTGAATCTAAGTTTTTTCTTCTGTGAAATGAGTAAATTGAATTAATTATTTTCTGATTTCCTTCTAGGTATGAGAGTCTATTGTTCTATACTGTGATGAAATATTATCAGGGATATATGAGACTTCAGAGTTATCATAGAATGTCAATAGCAACATGGAGAAATTTTTTCAGGGTAATTTTCCCCTTGATAGATATGCTCTACTATGGCAACATTCACCATTTAAATTGACATCTGCAAGCTCAATGCTTAATTAAAAGTGATGAGAGGCACATTATAAAAAATTATAAGTCTATATGTATCCACATTTGAAGAAAAATAATTCTTCAAGACTAGATTAAGTCCATATTGCAAATTCCTATTTACTTCTACTTAAAGTATTTTGGTGTAAGGGGCAACATCTTATTCATTTTTGTTTCTTCAGTGCCTCATAAATAGTATGCATATAGTACTTGTTGGATAAATAAATGAACTGAAATTTTACATATTTTTATATATATAGATAGATAGATATGCACCATACTTCTCATTGCTATCGCTTGGAAATATATAAACAAATTACATTATTACAATATTCTATCTAAAGTTTCCAAAAGCATAAATGACTCAGGGAATAGTTGTGAAGCATGTGAAGCATGCCAAACTGCAATTAGTATCTTCGAGGTGCTCTGGGCCCTGTATGTCTTGGCTACATTCCTAGATAACTGATGCCTATGTCCTCTATCATATCTTCCTTCCCCCATCCAAGGCTAACTTCATCCAAATGTGTCGGTCTGTGTGTGTGTGTGTGTGTGTGTGTGTGTGTGTGTGTGTGTGTGTGCGAGTGCATGTTTGGACACATGCAGTATGCTGAGGATGATGGGTGGATATAATTATGTCTAATCAAGAGTGAGATGGTAAATTTTATTCAATTAATTACTTATGTGAGTGTTTCAAGCTGAATATAATACGTTAGGTGCTGTAAGAAATTTAAAAAAATCGTGATCCATTATCCCTTATTTCTGGATCTCACATCTTAATAGGAGAGCTCCTAAAACAGCAAGTGTACAGACTTATTAGTGGCTGATGTTAATTACCACCACATCTGTTTTTGTCTACTCAGCTCTTGCCTATAACTGGATCTCACTTTGTTGTCTAATCACCGCTTCCTTAGATGAGGACAGGCTGTCTCACTCTGTTTCCTCTAGTGGGTTTCTCACAGCAGAACCAACACAAACCTACTATTTATGCTTCTTCTGTCAGTTCTTGGGGATACCAGAAAGATTTCAGACAGTAAAATGGCCATTGCTATCAAAATGTTTGAATCATAACAGTTAGGCAAATGCTAATTTCTTTGGAAATTATACATTCTCTTTTCAATTGTAAACACATTTTAAATTCAACAAAAGTGATAGATGTTTGCAAATCATATCACACCAGTGAAATAATCTATATATATTTTGGAAGTTTCTAATGTGACACTGTTATAAAACTACCCTTCTGCATCAATTTGATTCAAATTCTGAAAATAATAGAGGCCCACTGAAGAAAAAATTTCCACAGTGCTTGAAATGCCAATTTCAAAAGAGCTGCAGAATTTCTCATACTGGGGCATGCCACTATTATTTTAATACAGGTGTTGTCCCACTAGTTATCTGCACATTTCTAAAAAAATGAAATAAAGACCAATCCTGTTCCCATATATAATGTATTTTCCTTTCTTCTCCACTCCTCAAAAAAGTATTTGTTGAACAGTAATTGTCCTGAGAATTGGACCTATTGTTATATAGATAAAATAATTTGGGAATAATATACAAATCCTATAGCCTCCAGCAGTTGCTTTTGATGTACAGTAGTTTGTTTTCCAACTCATCCTTTGCCAATCCAGAAGAACCTAGAGTGTGAAATCTTTATTTTCTTCCTTTTGCTGTGGGACTACCTATAACCCCCATAAGGCTGAAGTCAGACCAGTGGAACATCTGTTAAAATGCAGATCAGGTTTTTCGTGCTCAAAGAAATGAGCAGTTTTAAAGTAAGCATTATCTCATCAGTATTCTGTACCATCATCTTAGTATGAAGGAGAAAAATACAACAATATACCTGTGAAGAAGAGAAGATAAAAGACCATGACTCAGAAGGGGGAAAATTGCTTCTTAATTGAGCTTAAATGTAAGAAAAGAGAGAAAAATAATCCCATAGCTTTCTCTTAGTGAGATATCTTTCATTCATTTGAAGTATATACATTTGTATGTCATCCAGTTTTAGTGTACCAGATGGAATATTTAGATGCAGAGAGAAGGCTTATGGGTGTTGTAGTCATGGAAGCTGAGTGCCAACTGTGAGACAGAACTGTCAAAGCTATTCAGAGAAACAGTGGTTAGGACTGCTTTGTGATAATTATATCCACCACCATGGTATCACTTGTAAGTCTAGACACACTGAAGTTATTTTGATTCCTTTCTTTTTTTCCTCCATGTAGATATCATTTTAAATCTGGAAGTTCTTTTATTTGTTTGTTTTTATAAGATTTTCTTCCTCTATGTACTATCTCTCAAAGTCAAATTCTCTCTCATATGTATTCAAACCCTAAACTATTAATTTTACTTAATCATCTTGTACTTAAGCTGCAGTTACAGTTTTTTAACTACTTGTCCTCCCTCCGGTTGCAATCAGTCAGTGACATAAGTGTTTGCTGTGAAGATGTTGTCTTCCTCAAACATTATTTTCATCATGCCATTTGCCAATTTAAGAACCTTCAAAAGTTTTGAATGGCATGACTAATCATGACAGGGAAAATATTATGTTTTAAACACTTACAATACTTCATTCCTCTCCTGTTGAGAAAGGTTGATCTTAAGGAAAATCTTTAAATATTTTCCCCAGAGCTGATCACTGCTGTAATTAGTGTAGAGTAGAGAAGGAGAAACAGGACTAACACAACCCATAAGAGTTTCTCATTGGTCGTCCAGAGAGGCCTGAAACCCCATTATCTTTTTGTCCCATCTCTCTCCATCATCTAACTCTGTCTTTGCCTGTGGACAACACACTTTTCAAATAGCTCTAAAAAGGAGGTAGGAAGTTGGAGCTTGATGACATATAAATACCATGAAGGAAAGGCACCTTCTAAAGAAAGAGGCCCTGGAAGTAACCATCTGGGCATTTTTCTATGAGCATTAGTAGATATATCACCACTGTTAGAGATATTTAAAAATAATTTAGAACGTTTTGTTGTAGGATATATCATGTAATGCTCTTCCTTCCACACACAACTTGAGCTTGGTTCTTCCTATCTGCTCAAGAAACTGTAATTTTCTTCACATTACTCTTCACACATTTGAAACTTGGTCTTACTTGTATTTCCCCTTGCTGGCAGCATGGCAGGAGATGGCATCCAGGCAGGGACTGAATGATAGCATAGCTGACTCAAAGAAACCCAGTAATACTCAGGCTATACTTGGAGATCCATCATCAGAAATTCTGAATCTCAGGTACAATATCCAACTGCTCCTCTGATTAAATCATCATTGAGGAAAGCCAACAGTACAATATACCGTAATGACTAAGATGTTAGAGTTGTGGCACAAGCATTTGGAGAATGACCTAACGGGAGCCCTCATGGTTCTTGGTATACAACTTTAAAGTCAGAAGTAAATTATGTTTATTACTCTTGAGATTGAAATTGAGAGGATGCATTCTTTTAAACTGTATGTATAATGGGAAGCTAGGTGCATATTACAATATATGTGTTCAATAGATTAGGAAAATTTAAGAAACACCGTCCTGAAATTGGCACATAAATATAAATTCTTAGGGCAATGAGAGCTTTCCTCTATTTAGAGAGAGATGTGGAAAATGTACTGATGCATTCAAGATACTTGCTAGGCTTCACAGTCTTGTCCTTTTCATCATACTACTCCTTTCACGTCAATGGGCACCAGATTTAGTGCATCTGCTCCTAGAAGAGAAAGTTGTAGGAGTGTAGAACCAAAAATGGAAGACAAATATTTGGGTCTGAGGTAGAAATTCTGAAGAAATGTTACTGGAGTCAATAAGGGCTGGGGAGGTTGAGTTAAGGAAAGCCTGGTAGGGAAACAGCAGAGATTAAATGACAGTACAGAAAGCCAAGAATTACTGCCTCTATTCTACTAGCACCTGTAACTCAGTGGTTTTCAATTCTAACTGTATATCATAAAGCCTTGTCTGCTCTTTAAATAAAAAAAAAAAAATGCCTTGCCCCTACCCCAACATAATTAAATCAGAATT
The DNA here is from genome assembly GCF_000001405.40 of Homo sapiens. Classification (NCBI taxonomy): domain Eukaryota; kingdom Metazoa; phylum Chordata; class Mammalia; order Primates; family Hominidae; genus Homo; species Homo sapiens. The sequence goes on from NC_000006.12 coordinate 93,945,789, forward strand.
TATGGGGATGTTGCCTGGGTAACTTCATCAGTGTTTTTAAGTCTTCCAGATCTTTATTAATGTGCAACTGGGACTGAGAATCGCTGAGTAAACTTGAAAGATCATCTGGCAATGTTGAGAATTGGCTTAATTTGAATGAAACAGAGAACTACAGGTTCCTATGGAAAAAAGACGTGTTCTACCTATATGAGATACCAGAAATCTTAGTGGCCACATAACAAGGGGTTGAGGAGAACAGAACAAAGACGGAAGGGAAGTGATGTAATCGGTCAAGCAATTTATTCACAAATGTCATTGAATGCACTTAGACTCAACCACAATTCTCTCTGTTGATAAAATTTTAGGAGAAAAATAAGAGAAGGACTCCCAGAAGGATACTTCTCTGTACCCAGAAGAGACTTCAGAGCAGAGGCCTCAGGGCAGATTTGAGGAGCTGAGAACAAGCCAAGTATGAATCATCCTTGAAGTCAGAGTTTTAATAAATTAGGTTTTAGGGCTAGGCATGGGCAGATCCCAAGTTCTAAATTAGAGAAACTGTTCACCCGCAGGCATACTACATTCTGGTTATATTGCTGAATAGGAAGTATTTTCAGTAAAAGAGAAATCCACAATCAATTTATTGCTATTATATAGCAATAAATAGGTAGCAAACTAATAAAAAGGTAGCAAACTACCTTTTTGTTAGAACACAATGTCCCTTCATTCAAGCCTTTCTTTTTTTTTCAGTTTTAGTAGTTTCTAAGCTATTTTGAATATTTTAATAATTTTGGAGATTCTTCCCTCTTCCCAATCTGTCTTTCCATGGCAGATTCATTAGATGTTTTTAATTCTGGCTTATCATTTGGCCTAACCTCTTAATTGACTTCTTTGTATGCCCACTTTTCACCTTGATGTTTATTCAGCATTTATGTTTTCAGTCTATGCATTTCTCATGAGAATAGCTTGGTGAGTTTTTTATTTTCAAATTCATTGCCCAAATCATCTTTAAACGGAATATACTGCCTCTTTCATGACAGTTCCGAGCTCACTGAGTGGCTGAGCATTGTGAGAGAGGACAAGGGAATAATTGAGATTGGTGTTAATTAAAAGTTGTGGCTTTCATCTAGCACCTCAGATTTTTCTTCACTGCCCCTAGCATTCCTCACTTTACTCCTTTATCAACTCTTCTGCAAGTCTGTCATTCCTTTTAATCACTTTGGCTATCAGAGTTGCTCAAACTTCACTCATTTTTGACAACTTTGAGAGTTTTCAGGAGTACTGGTCAGATCACTTACATTGGGATTTATCTGATTTTTCCTAATGATTCAACAGAAACCGTGGGTTTCTGGGGAGAAGAGTGTAGAAGGAAAATGCTCTTCTCATCACAACCTTTCAAAAGTACATGCTATCAAAATAAGACATCACTATTGTTGTTAATCTTGGTCACGTGGTGTTCATTGGGTTTCTTCATTGTCAATGTACTCATCTTTTCCCCTCTTTTCCACACTACTCAGAAGTCACTATGCACATCCCACCCATGAAGGGTGGGGAGTTATGCCCCACCTTCTTGAAGGAAGAGTATCTATATAAATTACTTGGAATTCTGCATGAAAGAGTTTGCAGTAAACCCCCCACCACCACCTTGATTAAAGTGTGATTGACAAATAAAAATTGTAAGTACTCGAGCTATACAATGTGATGATTTCATATACGTAAATATACACTGCCAAATGATTACCACAGTCAAGCTAATTAACACATCCATCACATCACATAATTATCTTTTTCTGTGGTGAGAACATTCAAGATCAACTCCCTTAGCAAAGTATAAATATAAATAATAATACAATATTATTAGCTATAGTCACCATGTTATACATGAAATCTCCAACACTTACTGCAGTAGCTTTTTAATTGGCATTCTTACATTCGCTCATCACTATCCGTTCTGTGCTCCTTGCTTCCATACTATAGACACAGAGGTCATTTTGAAGCAGACATTCATTCTCTGTTTAAAACCTTTCAGTGGTCACCCACTGATGGAAATGTAAACTCTAAATCCTAAACTCAAGGTATAGAGCCGTGTACACAATATTATTCTCAACCAGTCAATTTCAACTTTGGTTCACATGGAATCATCAAGTTGCTTTGGTGCATGTAGATTCCTGATTTCTACTCTAGAGATCTCCAATCTATTAGTGAAATATGGCTTTGAAATATATTAGTACATATTACCTTTTTATTATTATAAAATATGTATTCTCACACAATTATTTTTATAAAAGCCATCATCCCAATAATTATATTTACTTATAATATTATTCATACATTTTCTGTTTTTTTTTTCAGTTGATTATTTGGAGTCAGTGATTGCCTTTTGGTAATTCAGAAGTACTTGGGTACATGTTATAAGCATTTTAATTCCCTCTCATTTCTACATTTTCAGTAAAGTGTTTCCATGGTGCTGAAAAAATGTAATTACTTTATAATCAAGAAATGTATTTTAATGCTGTTACGGACCTCTAGAGCAATGAAAACTTCTAATCTAAAATATTCCCCAGATAAGCTATATTATGAAGTATCATCTGCATATGTTATTAATTTCTCTTCATAATCTCTAACCTCATTTGCCTATGCTAAATTATATTTATTATTGATTTGAATAATTATGGTAGAATATTCTCACATTAGTTTCTTAAAAGATGAGATAGAGATAAATTATGATTTATTTATATATAAAGAAACAATTTAACTAGGGGACATTATTTAATATTAGAAAAAGTATATTTAGTTATTCATTATATTTTGAAAACATTTTATTTCTATATTAGCTATTTTTAAATTCAAATCTAGCAAGTGCAAAGTATTCACAAATCAAGCTTCACTGCAAAAACCATCTATTTTATACTGTTAGAGAGACCAATATTTTCTTGAGCCAAATATAAGTATTTAAAATTCAAAGTATATTAGGAATAAGATGTTATTTTGGATATAATTTGATAATGCTATAATTTTGTTTCTCTTTTTGGAAATTATTTTTGGTATTCCTGATTATTGAAGTAATATATTCGCATTGTCAAAATTTGAAAATTGAATAATGTAAGTTAGATAATTTGTCTTTAGAGCCATATCGTCTACATTTGCTGTTACGAAAAACTGTCCTTGAAGAAAATGTATTATCTAAGTATATAGTAGTGAAGTGTGTGTGTGTGTGTGTGTGTGTGTGTGTGTATAATCATAAAGTGAGGAAAGTTTCCAGAATCCAGAAGCCAAATATGAAAGAAAGCACAATAAGTGAGCCCAGAGTGGAGGAAGTAGATGTAGACTGCGTGAATCATGTCAAATCAGACCTCTGCACTAGATTCTGGAGTATCCTATAGAAGAATGTTGATCAAATGACTGTATGCTCCTGGTTTCTCTCCCCAGAAAGGTTCACATAGACATAGCTCTCAGGTGATTAGGTGAAAGCAGCAGATATATGGCAGGGTCTTTCAATTTAACAAAAGGCAAAGGACAGAAAGGAAATGAACCAAGCAAATCTGAGCTGGCAGACAAACTAGGTCCCGCATACAATAAACTTCAGTATTAAAGAAAATGATCTCATAATGAAAGTCTCTGATGTAGGAAGGAATATAGGATATCCAAACATAGGTTGATTGTATAAAATATATGATAAACTGTCTAATTTATGGTGCTAAAAAAGAAGGCAGGCCTGTAGTATTAGGAAATAGCTTTTAAGTATATAACACAAATATTTACAGATTATGAAGAAAATTTGCAATTCCATCATCAATAGTTAAGAATTTCACAAACTTCTATCAGGATAGATCATGCGGACAAAAATGTCAAGAAAGAAATTTAAGATTTTAATATCACCAAACCACACACTTGATCTGATGGACAATATTCCTCCATAGAAAACAGACATCAGCTCAGAAGTCTCTTACCATCTTCTTATCGTACAGCTACATGTTCATCACCTTTGCTGTCAAGCTCTACCTCCTTTGTCTCAGGTGTCTCTCCCTTGTATCTAAACCAATTTTCCAACTGTACTCTGTATCCCATCTCATTCCTATACCTTTCTCAATAATACAAGGGAAGCCTTTAAAAGACAAAGCCAGGCTTTTAGAAAAAAGAGAGAACAAGAAATAGAATAGAAAAGGTAAATAGATTGCATGTTTCATATTAATTTTTATATCCACTGTTCATATTCCTATTAGTGCTTATTTTCTGAAACAATTCTCATGCTGGAACTAAATTACCCATTGAAAATAGCAAACACACAAGATTGAGCTCCTCCTGTAAAATTTGTTTCTGGTCTATTGCACATTTGCCAAAAGTTAGCTAAAAAGAATACTTTGCATGCTCTTGAGAAGGTCTCTAGCAAAAGAAGCAAATAGAGACAGGTCAACTTTAATTCACTGGCTTTCCATGTTGAATACTATTATTTTTAGAAAAAGTAAATAAAGATCCCATATTTTTCTTATCTTTAGGTAATTATTCTATTTAATCTTTTTTTGAAGTAAAAGATAAAAATATATAAATTTCATTTCTCAGCATAAGTTCCGTCAAGATCATGACTTTTTTTTTTTTTTTTTTTTTTTTTTTTTTTTGAGACAGGGTGTTGCTCCGTTGCCCAGGCTGGAGTGCAGTGCCACGATCATGGCTCACTGCAGCCTCAATTTCCTAGGTTCAAGCAATCCTCTCACCTTAGCCCCTAGAATAGCTGGTATTACAGTCACATGCCACCCTGCCTGTCTAATTAAAAAAAAAAATTGTAGGGACAGAGTCTTACTATGTTGCCCAGGCTGGTCTTAAACTCCTGGCTTCAGGTGATCTTTCTTCCTCAGCCTCCCAAAGTGTTGGGATTATAGGCATGAGCCACTGTGCCCAGCAAAGATCATGACATTTTTGTAAGTCATGATACCAGCCATTTAGTCCATCTTGTATGTATTCGAACTTAGAACTCAAAATTTTATACATGAAATTTCTGACCTTAGGCATTTTCTATAGTACAATGAACCATGGATTAAGATTCTAATGGAAGGCAATTGGATTGTATGAATCAGTATTTCCAAAAATGTAAAATAATAGATAAATCAAGTCATTTATATTTGGCTTAAAGCCATACATTAATTAATTAATCTAACCTTTATTAAATACTTACTGTTGCTAAGTACCGTTATAAGTACTGGAAATACATATTTAAATGAGAGCCAGTATAGATCAGTTACGTTTTGAGTTTGGCTATTGTAATGTGTGTTTGAGACATAAATGTTTTAAAACACACAAATACCTATTCTCTCATGTATAAGAAGTCCAGGGAAAGGGTGATGCTGCAGCTACACAAAGTGATCATGTACTCTTGTTCCTTCTGTTTCTTTTCTCTGCCCAATGTGATTTTAATTTTCAGATTGATCTCATGGACCACGATGACCAAGATGCCGTAGCTTCAGTTATTACAATCTTGCTCCAAGGAGCAGAAAATCAGAGAGAGAAGGAAATTTAAAAGGTACCCCATCTTTCAACACACATTTCCAGAAGTTCCGTATGGCACTTTCTACAAATCAATCGCATAGCCATATGGCTTTGAAATGGTCTGCACTCCACAGGTTTCCAGCAGTCATTATCTCAATAAATAAAATCATAATTCTATTAATGAATAGATAAGGAAAAATGTATGTTGTATGATTGTAGGCGGTCTAGCCATCTTAATCTCACAGTTTCTTCCTGCCTTCAAATAAATAGATGAATAGATACTTAAATAAGGTTCAGTGGTAGGTATAGTATTTAGGAGTAGTTAGGTCTTTTCTTTTGTAGTGTGGGTCATAATAGATGGAGTGGTCAAGTTACATTGGAAAACCCATAAGCATAATAATTTGCATATATTTTAATTAATGATGTTGGTTTCAAAAATCTCCAATATATTGCAAAAATTCCCCAAAGGGGATGAAGAAAGTAGACTAATAGTTTGGTATAAGGTATTTTACTTGTACTATCTCATTTAATTCTCACACAACTCTATGAAGAAAGGGATATTATTTCAACTTCCCTGATAGGGATATGGTTTCAGAAATGGAAAGAAAAATACATATCCAGGACTACATTGCTAGTAATAAATATTAGTAGTATTGAAATCTAGATTTTTCTCTGAGATTCTATTATTTTTAATATACCTTAAGCTGTCAGAAGCCTCCAAATCCAAGATGCAGAACTGGAAAATAACTTTCTCAGCCTTTTTAAAATAATACAGCTAAAACTTATTTTTGAGGGATTCTCCTAATGGTATATCCTTTCATCCAACTAACACTCCAAGGGCTTGGATTTCAAATATCTCATCACATAAACATCATCCTTCCCTAAATCTGTTATCCCAATGTTTTTTGGCTTTCTAGTATCTCTTGAACAAACTTGCTGTGTTTTGAGAATTGCTTGCTTTAGGAGTTCTACCTCCCCTAGCTTTTTCTCTTCAATCTATAAATAGACATAGGCTAAGAAGTGCATGTTCTCACTCTCGCAGCTATGGCACAGGACCATAACTCAGTATTTCAACAATTGCACTTGCCTGGGTGAAGCTTTATCTGGCAGTAATTCCCATGGGTAAGTACACTCTGTGTAGGGTCTATTCATTGGCAAGATGGCAAAATTGATTAGTGGATTTCTGGGAGTAATAGTGGTTAAAATTTTGACTGTGGTTATAGAGCTGATGGCAATGCATCAGAGTCTTGGTGGCAGTCACACTGAGTTCCTGGCAGCTGAACGTAGTAGAGGTAGCAGTAGTCTCCGTCATGTTTTTCTCAAGCCAGTTCCTGGAGTGTTTTGGACCACTGTTCCTGAAACTTGAGTGTTGAACCACCTTTTTAGCAATTCTCTTAGTTTCTCAATATATTTCTGATCAACTTTTTGTATTATACAACCAAAGATTTATTGTAATGGAGAATTATGAATAATACATTTAATATTACATTTAATATCACAATTAGAGAAAAGCAAAATTGCTATAATGGAAAGGTAAATTTGCTGGAGAAAAAACACTGAGCCTGGAGTAGCATATTCAGTCTCTCACTAGTTTTGTAACTAGGAAAAGACATTTAGTTTTTTCTATTTAATCTATGAATAGGCATAATATTTATTAAGATTCCATCTTTCTAATTTTTTTTCTCCCCAAAGAAGAGATTTGGTGAAATTGAGTAATGTATTGCTTAAGATCACAGAGGTCCATGATAGTGGTGGTTAAATCCTAGCTTTACACTCTGCCTTTGTGACCTTGACTCAATCACCTACACTCTCTCTGTCTCAGTTTCCTCATCTAGAAATTGCATTGTAATAGTACTTAGATGATAGGGTTCTTTGGAGGTTTAAATGAGTTATCCTGTCTACAAGCCTTAGACATTGTCTGGCACTGAGACCGCTTTGTTAAGTGATTATATGTTAGCTAAAATTGTTGTTGTTACTGTTTGTATGATGATATTGGTAGAACTTTATTAAAACACAAATTCTAGGGCCTCAAGATAGACCAACTATGTCAGAAACTCCAAGGTTTACACTTGCACATTTATATTTACAATAATTATATACACTGATTGATTCTGGAGCACAACTAGGGGTAAAAACTGCTGAACCATTAATATCTGGGGTCATTATTAATGCCAGCCAACTGACAGAATCTCTGTATTTTCACACCTTGGTTAAAACATGCATTAATATGTTAAGTTGAATAGGCAAAAATTTATGGTAATAATACAGAAACAGCATGATGTAATGAAAAGTACCCTAGAGGAAGTTCAAGAGACATTTTCTAGTTTCTGGCTCTCACACCAACTCACTTATTAAAATTGGACTCTTCACAGAATTTCTTAGTCCTTTAGTTTCCCAAACCAAAAACCAAGGAACGTTGTCTAGATGATCCATAATGTTTTTACATAGAGAAACATTGATAGTATTTAGGAGGATATATATCTATATATAGACACACACACATAAATACATACATGTGCATGCATGCACACCACCCCCATACCCACTATATATATATATGGCTTCACTCTCTGGCTTTGTGACCTTGGGCCAGTCACCTAAACACTCTCTCTCTGTTTCCTCATTGAGAAATTGCAGAGTAATTGTACTTACATGATGGAGTTCTTTGGAAGTTTAAATGAGTTATTCTGTCTAAAGGGCACTTAGCTAGGCAATGTCTAAGCCATTTAGACTATGTTTGTATATATATGTGTATATATATATGTATATGTGTGTGTATATACATGCACAAACACACACACACATATGTGCAAAGAACAGGATGGTTCAGGAATCAGAAAGACCTTACTAAACCATCGTTTAGTGCTTGACTTTGAGCAAGCATCTTAATCACCTCAGCCTCTCCCTTTGTAAAATGAAATCATGAGAAACTTAACTACAATAGTAAGTTAAGATACATAAAAAATAAGTAGGAGTTTTTAAATATTTATGTTCTTTAAATTTCACAATTTTATTATTGTTTGAACTAAAGTAGACCCCACATTGTATTTAATCATTTTTATATATCTAAATATTTAGACCTTGATGAAAATACAAAAAGAATGCATAGAAATAACAGAATTTCAGAGGAATCATGAGAAAACATATTGAAAATATATTTTACATCTTGAAAATGTATTTTAAATCTTGATATGTATAAAAAACCTTAACCAAAAATACATTGTAGTCGATGATTTGCAAATCTTTCTTTTCTGTTATGCATTGGTTGTTACTGAATACTTTCATCCTCTACCCAATATCTTTGTTTATTTTATGCCACTTTGGAAGTGATTGTTTTTTTAAGAATGGATTATATGATGGCTAACACAAAAAAACACTGAAAGGTCAAAGGCAGTAAAGTATGTTTTTTTTTTCTAAGCAGAAATAAAAATGACTTTACCCTTCTGCAATGTTTCACTTTCATGCTTTTTATATTGGCTCAGTCAGGAAATACATCTCATTCACATTGATCATTATAGCACACGCCATCAGGATAGACATAGCAGAGTGTTCAAAAATAAATCAGCTAGACACCAATGAACATCAAGAAGTAATACTCTCTGAGTTGCCTACAGTCTGTAACCCATATATTTATGTCAACTTGAAGGAAAATGTATAGACAATAAGTGAACATTAATGTAACAATGTTTGAGAAAAGAAAATGGTAACTATGGTTTTCATGTAAGAAATTCAATAGATGTTCATTTTTAAAGAAGATAATTTTTCTACTTAATGTCTATAGCTGTTTATATACTATCATCTGTCCTCTGAGTATGAAATTAACAACTTTTTATTTATAAATATTCTTACCTATGGTATTTACATATAATGTTCTATAGAATGTTCACCACAAGCATTGCTGCCAAAAGATTTTTAACTGGATAGCCTGAGTCCTTATACTTTTCAACTAGCTATTCTTGACTCCTGATATTTTATTATAATTAAAATATATTCTATGCTCTATTGTTAACTTGTTATTAATTTCTTTTTTACAACCTTTCTTTTTATGATTCAATACTCTTTCTTCAAGCTCAGATGTTTCCAAATTAATGTAATTGGGGTTAACTTGATAAAACTATCTCTTTTTTTCTGTAGGCATCTATTTTTTGTTAAGATTGCCTGCCTCTTGAAATAGGTAAGACAAATCTATAAAACATCAGATATTTCTGCAATAATCAGGGATTACTTGTTTTTGTTACATGCTTTCATAAAACATGAAATAATTATTTGACCAGAAATAATTATTTGTCCACTATAACTTCAGAACAAATAAATAAAAATATGAAAATGTTTACAAACTATAAATTCCCACACAAATAAATTATCATTTTTATAGCTGCTTTATCACATGATATTCTGGGGTATACACCTCTACATACATTTTTTATAATATTCCCAGTGGAGCACCTCTCTCTCCTCACTGCTTTACTAGATCTGTTGAAAGCAGGGACAAAATAGTTGATTTTATTTTCAAGTTGGAAAAATGTGGCTTAAAGAATCCATATAATAGAGAAGGCAAAAGGACTTAAATACTATTTGGTTTCTCATTTATTTCAAAGATATTTATCTTTTAATTAGAAAATGAAGAAATGATTATAATAAATGATTAAGTCTCAACAAATAAGAAAAGATAAAATTTTACCTGGCTCTGGGTAAAGAGAACATTCATTACCTTTAAATAACGACTACTTAGTATACTACAAGAATTTGTGTACTGAGGATATCCTGCCCCAACCTACACCCCTTGTCCTCCTGATTCACGCTAATTTTTCAAGACTCAGCCTATGTGTTATGTCTTCAGTGAAGCATTATTTCTCCTTCCTTTGAACTTACCCACCCTGTTCTTCATACCTATATCATCTATAGAATTTAACACACTAAAATTGCAATGTTGGATTTTTACAAAATCTTAAATTTTAAGTTACATGAGGGCAATAGTTGTGTTTTATTAATCTTAGCATCATTGCTGATAGCACAGTGGAAATCTCTTGAAAAATGTTTTTAAAATGAGTTAATCATAAAATGAATTTTATAAATATTTAAGAAATCATGAAAGATGCCAGAGGCACTGAAACATTTTCATCAGTTGCTTTCAAATCATGTTCTTCAGTGTCTTAGTGGTCCCTTAGCTGTTTCTGATGTGAGTGTAAGTAGGGAGCTGAGAGTCCAGCTGCTAACCTCTACTCATTCTGCAAAATCCAGGTTTCCCCTTCCTTGACACATTGACCAGGGTGGCTTCGCCCATTTCTGATTTATATATTATTGTCTGCATAACATTTTATTTTAATAAATTAGTTTTTCACTAGAGAAATCAGATCTGAAGTTCCAGGTTAAGGTGATCAAATGACTCTATTCCAAAAACCAGTAATGTTATGTTCTATAACTGCACTGTTTAGTATGGTAACCAATACCTACATATATCTACTTAAATTTAGATTAATTGCAATTAAATAAAATTTAAAATTCAGTTTTTTAGTCACATTGTCTCATTTTTTCATTTTACAGTGCTTTCATTTTTAATTATTATGAATACATAATAGCTGTACATATTTATGGGGTACACTGATATTTTGATACAAGCATAAAATGTGCAATGATCAAATCAGGATAATTGTGTTAGGAACATTTTAATTTCCCTCTTTTAGTTATTTTGAAATGTACAATAAATTACTGTTAACTCTAATTGCCCTACTGTGCTACCAGACACTAGGTCTTCTTCCTTCTAGTTACCTGTATTTTGTTAGCTAATCATCAGCTCCCTATCTCCACCTCAAGGCCTGGCTGGCTTCACCATTCAAGTGCACAGTAACTGCACAAGTATAGTATCATTTTGAACACCACACAACATAATATTTCCATCATCACAAAGTTCTGTTGGACAGCTATTTTTTTCTAAAACAAATTAACTCTAATACCAATGATGGTAAAATCTTAGAATAATTTGAGAGAGGAAACAAGGGTAAATTATTAAGAAAGTACATGAGTTTGATTTTTCAGATTCTACACCATAAGTAAAATTATGCAGCATTTTTCTTTCTGTACTCGGCATATTTCATTTAGCATAATGTCTTCCAGGTTAATCCACATTGTTGCAAATAGTATGATTTCTTTCTTTTTCTCTTTCTTTCTTTCTTTCTTTTTTTGTCTTCTGTTTTTTAACAGCTGAATAATATTTTATTGTGGCGAATAGTAGAGTGGTTACTAGAGGTTGGGAGGCAGGGGATATGAGAGACGCTAGTTAAAGGTACAACTTTTAGTTAAAGAATTAATAAATTCAGGAGACCTAATAGTATAGTAACTATAGTTAATTAATAATAATGTATACTTGAGAATAAGGCTTATCTTCTCTGATCTATTCTAAGATAATAGTTTAGGAGTGTTCTACCACACACACAGTGTGGTAACTCTGTGAGGTGATAGATCTATGTTAACTAGCTTGATTGTGGTAATCATTTTACAATGTATATATATCAAAACATCTTGTTGTACATCTTAAATATTTTTACGTTTTGTTTGTCAATCATCTCAGTAAAGCTGGAAACAAAAGTGCATAAAATGCTCAGTTGACTTCTGTTAAGAGACCTGTTCCATGTGATTTTTTCCAATGGTTTTTAACTTATTTTGTAGGATAGAAGAATAGCAGACTAAAAATGAGAAACCTGGAGGGACAGTCCGTTTCTTGTTATATCTATAATATGTAAACCATATATCTATAACATGTAAATCAAAAAACATATATGAAACGCAGGTAAAACTTATATAGTATAATGTCTATCTCTATCAGTCTTGGTAATAACAATTACATGATAATGATTAAATGATAGGAATGATAATGAATGCTTAAAGTATTAACGTTATAGATTATTTTAAATGCCTTTTTTATAACTCTAATTCCCGAATTGCTCATATAGCTGCTTTCCAAACAGGGCAAACGTTCGACTTCCACACTGAGACACGAATTACAAACAAAAAGTGGCATACTGAAGTGAATAGGAGCAGAGACTTTGGGGCCCAAATGTCAAGAGTCTGAATCCTGGCTTCAGAACACGGACTGTGGCTTTCTGTCTCAATAGGGTCAATAGGGTCATTTGTCCCACCTTGCTCTATCTTTCTTAATCAACTATATTTCCATTGAATTTTTGCTGTTATACAAAACCAAACATGTTTCTCTGTCACTGGAGAAGCTATTTTTATAAACCTGCAGAGTTTTGGACAACAAACTAATATATCCTGGTCTTGGTATTTCCTAGAATGATGTCCAAATTTCATCTCCGATTAAATAATTTTTAACTTTTGAAACAATTACTTCTATCTTTAGTATTGCAGTCCAATTGTGAAAAATCCAATTAACTCATTTTCCCCATATCACTCCTCTAGCATGTATTTTTGTGGATTTCCGATGAAATACACTTTCAATTCATTTAATGTATTGGATATATACCTTTGAAAGGATCAGAACAAAAACCATTATGGGATGCCTATAAAAGAAATCATTTTAAACTAGCCCCATATCCGTTTTGCAAGGAGTCTATATAAAGTAACAACTATAGAAACAATATCTAAGATGTAATTTCTCCATCATGGCTTTTTCAAAATTTTTCATAGTATCTTTGTGTAAAATCTCAAGAAATGTGCTCTGAGTTCAGTGAAAGGTTTTTAGTTTGTTAAGTAAGCACGCTAAAGGAGTGCCAATTAAGTAATTTAGTGGAATAGTTTTTTGTATAATGAAAGGTTGTACTTTAAAGACTCTTTCCCAAACTGCATTATACAACACATAAATGGATATGAAATCAGGAAGTTGAGAGTTACCCTCTGATACCTAACATCATAGGGCTTTCACCTTCATTTAGTTTTTTTTTTTTTTTTGGTGGGGGGTGAACTTAGATAGTTTTCTTATTAAATCTACAAATACAAACATTACTGGATTGGAAGAGTTAATGAATGATAGAATTGAGGTTTAAAAAGTATCAAAATCTAAGAAGTGCAATCTACAGAAATAAAAGTTAAGACATGCATTCATGTTCATAAAATTCACTACAAAAGAATAGTTAAGAAACATAAAGTCAAATACTGCATTTTCTCACTTATAACTGAAAGCAAAATAATGTACATACTTGGAATTGAGTGTGGAATAACAGATATTGGAGACTTGGAAAAGGGGAGAGTGGAAGAGGGATGAAGGCTGAGAAATTACTTAATGAGTACAATGTACATGATTCATGTGGTTGCACTGAAAGTCCAGACTTCAGCACTAAGCAATATATCCATGTAACAAAGCTGAATTTGTACTCTTTAAATTTATTTATTTATTTATTCACTTTTTAAAAGTAAGAGGGGGCTCTTTTTCTACAGCTATTTGTGTAAAGTTATACCTCAGGAAATTTGATAACTATGAAAACATTGTTTAAAATATTAAAGTAATTTATTAATCCGTTAATAGTAGTACACTAGAAACATGATATTGTAGTCTGCATTGATGAGATGCATTGAGCTCAGTTTTTGAGTTCTTATTTTGGGAAAGCATTGAAAATATATAAGATTACTCTAAAGAGTTTGGTAGGAGCAGAGTAATATAAAAAGAAAAGTTGATAAAATTATGAAGTTTAGTGCTGAGAAGAGAAGCCCTGCCATGGCCATAGACCTGTCTGTACACACTTGAAAGACTGCCTTGGTTGTTTTCATTTGTTTATCTACCACCCATTAGCCAAATTTAGACCAAACGTGAGAGACTTATATGGAAATGCATATGCCTGAGTATAAGAGTTATCTTTCCTACACTCAGGATTGGCTAAAAATATAAATAACATCTCAATTCCCCATTCATGAAGATGTCCAAGGTAATTAAGGATGTTGAAGGAGATAATCTTTATCGGATGAAATGCATCACTAAATGCTAAATTAGTGTACAGAACGACCCAGAAAAAAACCTGTACACTGTAACACCTCAAGACCACATGAATCATGTCTGTATTTGGCAGCTGAATTAAAACTTTAAGCCATAATTAAATTACTGTTGTAAGATAATAAGGATGGCAATGCTACAGACTGTCAGAAAGTGTAAAATATAGTAGGGCAAGATAAGGGTGCTAACTCTTGCTGAATGTTAGTCTGAAGTACTGGTGCTAGGCATCTGATACATTGGATCTCATGTGACCAGTGTAAATCGTCAAAAGCAAAACCAAAAACCTCTCAAATCAACTATGCTGTTTACATGAAGATATACTAGATAAATCATCAGGAAGAGTAATAATTAAAATGGCCTCTAAAAACTTGTATAAAATATATAGCAGATAAAAGAAAGGTAAATTATAAAATCCAAAGTGAGTCCCCTCCCTGATGTTTCAAGTATACGATGATTTTAACATAACCTCTCTTGATGCCTACCACATTGCATTCTTATTCAGCTTTTCTGTTAGGAGTCATAAGTTTCTAACGTTGTGTGTTCTCTCTAATAGGATCAAATGGTCTATGAAAAGATTATTGACTTGTATTTGTATTATAGTTACTAATTCTGTTTCTACTATCTTACTAGTAATCAGAAAGTACTCATAACTTGTGCTTCTTTGGCATATAACGTTCTCTCTCCTGTCTTTAGCTCCCTACCTGTAAACTTATAGGGCTAGGCTGGCTGGCTTTTAAGTACAGCATATTTACCTTCTGAAATTATTTGATTCTTTACCACCAAAGTCCAAACAGAACCTACTTTCTCAGGGGAGTTTTGATGACAGATGGCCTCTACTTTTTATCTACTATTTGCAACATCAGAGAGGCGTATGCTAGTCTCTCTTCATCCTGCTATGCATAGGAATCATAGCTTTTCATAGGTACTTACCAGAAAGCCTTTAGTCAGGAATTCTTCAGTTTTGCTTTCCAAGAATTCAATAAATCTGAAATCCACAGGAAAAAAAATGGCCCTTTTCAACTCAGCTTTTGCTTTTTAGCTTTTGCTGGAGCTAAATAAATAAAACTCAAAGGTTAACACAGTAGCCTGGGTACTACCCTGGCTTGATGGCAGTTTTGCCTTATCAGAAAGTACTCAGAATGAGTTTCCCACATGATTGCATTACGTTTTCAATTTCCCACCTGTTTCGTAGGACATGTGTAAAATACATTTTGCTTCTGCTATCTCCAGTTTTAACATTTTCCCATTTCCTATGTTTAAGCTCATAGAATTTTAAAGTAGCCAATCCTTTTTCTTAATGAATATTTTAAAATAATTTGAATATTCAAAATATAGCAAAATAGTTGAAAGAAAAGTTTTTTTTAACATAAAAACAAGAACATGTCTCACAGACTTCACACTTGTTCCTTTTTTTACTTGCTGTAGTCTAAAATGACTTTTGGGCACAGACATAAACCTAGCTACCAGCTGTCCAAATTTCCTCTCCTAAATTGCCTAAATTGAGCCGTTGTTTGGTGTCATGAGGCTAACTTCTGATAATATTTAGTATTCTGCAGCAGTAATTTTCTAAGTATTTTCTGAAGAGACTAGAAGTTAGTGTAACATTGAAAAAATCTAATATGCCCCAAGAAGTAATTGTATGCATATTGGTCTAAGTTCAATTAAGAGATAGAAACCTCACCACAATTTCAACAGAAGAAGCTTAATATAAAGAATTATTAAACGATGCTAGGTGTGAAGAAAAATAGTTAACAGGCTTGAAATGACTATTCTTAGAAAGGATTGGTTCCAAGGTTGGACCTTGTCTGGTTTCTGGAAATTTGGATTCTAGAAGGGTTTCAACCATTCCCTGATAAAAAATGGCTCACAGTGCCTAACCTGTTTATGAAAATTATCTGTTTAATGTGGAACGCCTGTTTTCTTTCAGGAGTCTAGAATTTTGATATATACTAGGTAAGAGGGTGCTTATGTGACCACCCTCCAATAAAAGCCCTGGCCGCTGCATCTCTAATGATCTCCATTAATAGATAATCCCTCACGTATAGTTGTCAGTATTTGATGCTGAAAAAATTGAGTTCTTTGGGACTTGACTTGGAGAAGACTCTTGTTACCTGGAACCTCGTTCAATACTACTTTTCCTTTGGCAGATTTTTCTTTGTACCCTTTCCCTGTAATAAATTATAGCCATGATAAGAATACATGCTGAGACTTGTTAGTCTTAGCCAATTATGGAAAATGGGGATGGAACTAAGGACCACTGACATACAAGGCTAGTATACAAATATAAAGAGAACTATGAAGGATGCTTTAAGGTAGAGAGAAAGTCACTCAGAAAGGACAAATTGAGAAGGGAGGTCCCATTCCAAGGCCTTGTTGAAGAAGATATAGTTGTAACCCAATGAGTGGCAAAAAATTTTACCTTGTTGCCCAGGCTAGATCTGGTCCATAGTCACTGTGCAAGCAGGAAACAGCCTTCCACAGCAAAGGCAAGACACATTTGTGTGCAGGCAAACAGGGAAGTCAGTGAGCCACCACCTGTAGGCGGTTTGGAGCTCTTAGTCTGCATTGGGAAGGCCACATGAAGCAACTCTGTGAGTCATAGTCAAGCTGAAGCTGGTGTGTAGGCACACAGATGGGGTCCAGGCACTGCAGGCACATGTCTTAGATCATGCAATGTCTGCATAAGGAGGGCCATGACAAGGTGTTGTCAGGGTCAGGGCCAAGGAAGCAAGGTCACTGAGGGATTTGCAGTTTGGGGGAATTCTCTTCCACCCTCCTCACTGACACACACATTGATGACATTCTATGTAGCAGGAGCAAGGCAGAGCAAAAGTAGCAGTTTGGATCCGGGAAGATAAGCTCCCTCTCCTTCTTGCAGTGCCCTTCCAGCACCTTCCAGTGACAAAATATATATCCATTGTAGAGGAGAAATGCTTAGAGAGTGCAGTTCATGATCTCAAATCAGATATTTAAGGGTACATTTGGATGTGAGAAAAAATGAATTGATGATAACTGGCTGGCACATTTAAGGAAAGCATGTAAGAGACTACCAAACAATCTCCTTCTCTTTTGAGTATTTTCAATTGCCAGACTATAAATCAAACCAAATGTAACTATAGTTATTCCATTCCTTTCAAATAAGTAAAAATAAAGTATATTTATATTTTTTCTTAGCTCCAGGTATAAGAAAGACCTTAGTATATAACTTTCTGAAAGTTCTCACCATTTTCCCAACCATAATAGGTCTTTGACTTGTTCTTGTATTTTTTAATGGTAAATAAAACTGCAGAGTAATGAATATACAGGTAATTTAAATTCTAGGATTGTCAGAATGCTAGTCTTTCCTTGATTTTCTGTCTATAGTAAACTAGCACTGAGTGAATATATAGTAACACAACTAATTTGGGATAAATTGAAAAAAGTGCCACTTAATTTTTAATATGTATTTTGCTTGTTTACTATTCACATTTTACTCAATCTGAGCAATACAATTAGATTTCAGTATTCTTTTCCTTCATTTTGTTCTCCCAGGCTACACTAAATATTTAAATTAGTAAAGTGTTATTGATTTTCTGTTATTTTATCATGAATATGTTCCTGGTCTTATTAGGTCGGTGAATTTATTTCTTAATGGAACTTACATTTTCAACTTAAATTACTTTGTAGTACAACCTAATGTCCCATGCAATGAGGTTATACCTGTATTTGTGTCAAATCTAATTATGAAGCCTTGATTTGTGTAATGTGAAAGAAATTATTTCCACTTTCTCTACCATGCAAATAGATTAATTTTCTCATTAGCCATTTCCATCAGTTCTGATTGCTTTAAGCTTATGGTTTTCATATTACTTTGTTTCCTAGACAGATTTGGTCCTTACTTCATGTGTGAATAGGTTGACTACACTTTAGGATATTTTATTTATGTTGAGAAATGAGCTAATGAGCTATGTAAGTCAGTAATCGTTATTTTTTCATTATTTTCTTTATCTTTTATATTGTGTCATGATAGCCTTTCTACAGTTTCTAATACATA